>NC_000014.9:72338985-72490500 GCF_000001405.40 Homo sapiens
AAAATAAATTTGAGAAATAAACTATTATCCTTTAGAATTGATAAAAAGTAGTTCATGGATATTAGAGATATTTTGGTAAATATCACTGTAAAGCATAAAGAAAAGAATAAAAAGTACCCATTTGCTATGATCAGAATGTTGTGTCCCACCAAAATTCATATGTTGAAACCCAGCCCCCAATGTGATACTGTTAAGGGGTGGGGCCCTTGGAGGTGATTAGGTCATTAGTGTTCTACCTCCATGAATGAGATTAGATTTGAGGAAGCCTGTTTGGCTCTGCTGGCTTATCAGGACACATGGAAAGTGCCGTTTAAGAAAGCAGAACAAGCCCTCACCAGACACCAAATCTGTCAGTGACTTGATCTTGAACTTACCAGCCTCCTGAACTGTGAGTAATAAATTTCTATTGTTTATAAGTTACCCCGGCAAAGATATTTTGCTGATAGTAGTCCAAAAGAACTAAAGAACTAAAATGCCATTGTACCTTAGCCCATTCTGTTGAATCCTTTGGTGGCTGGATTGAAGAGCTGGGCAGTGGAGAGACCAGCCAATTTAGAAAGACTAGGGGGTGCCTGGTCATGCTGCCTTCTATGTAAAGAGTGGGAAGTGGGGCAATGCAGAGGACATTTTTTGGTGCAGGAACACCATGAGGGGAAGGACTCCAAGTCTTCAGATGAGATGATGGTCTCTGGGCAGTCAGTTACAGAGCAGGAACAGCACTCTGATGTCACTTGGAAAGGCACTCATGAAAGCAGCAGAGCCTGAGCTGGTGTGTTCGGAGGCAGCATTAAAAATCAGCAGGAAAGGCATGAGACATGAAACCAAAAAAGGGATCTTTGCTGCTGGGTCTCAGGCAACACAAGGAAGAGGTTTGTCCTGGGACCCCCTGTGAGGTTCTAGGACCTCAGGTGCTGTTGGGATCAGGCAGGAATTTCCTGAAGTCAGCCTTGTGGTTGCACCTCCTTCTTTGCGGCCCTCCTGGGGACTGTTCTTCTTTTTTAGACTCATTTAAAATCCTCAAGGGGCCCCTCTGCTATAAGAAAGCACCAAGGGAAGGGCCCTGCCTTTCCAGTTTCCCAGCACCTAGCATGCAGTGAGTGCTCAAATATAATTTATATTTGGAATGAGTGATGATTCTCTCTGCTTCCCCTTTGGGACTGACCTTGATGCTCATTTCTACCTGATTTTGCTTATAAATTGTGAGGAGAGTTCTCTACACTACAATTTATCTCAGTATCCCTCCCCAGCTGGTGGCTCTCATGTGCTCACTGGAGCAGTCTGGGACATCAAACATGAACAATGACATAGTGAAAGAAGAAAATGCCTGGGGAAGATAATGGCACTATCTGGAGCAGGGAGCCTGCCATCTAAGGAAATGGTAAAAAGAAGGAGGCTCCTTAGGGCAGGTTTCAAGGGGCCAGAGGAAGCCCCAAATGCGTAGAATCACAGCCAGGTGCTCAGGAGGGGCAGCAGAAGCAGCCCTCAGGAGGAAGGGTAGTGGTCATCGTGCAAGGCAGACAAGGGCCCTAGGGTGCAGGCAGGCTGGGAAGATCTCCAGAGAATGAGGTGGGCCATCTGGGGGCATCACTTTGACCTGTAGACAAAGTGAAGGGAGAGGGGAGGGTCTGGTGATGACAGCCTCAGATGCAGACTCTTTAAGCCTTCTCAAGGCTTTCCAGTTTTTGCAGCTGCTGAGGAAACTTCATTCTCACCCTTCTTGTTCCATCTGAAAATGCACTTCTCTCCAGAGCTCTGGGAGACTGTGAAAGGCTCTCTCATTGCCCTGAAATATTTTTTTAAGGAATGAGTATGATCTTTTCTATTCTCTACTTCTGTCCCATGCAGAGCAGATGTAGAGGACCAGGAGTGATTCAGAGATGAGAACTGAATCTTCCCTCCAGAAAGTTATGTTCCAGAGGGAAAGAAGCGGAACTTCAGTAACAGAGAATATGAAATTGGTCCTAAGTAGAGGTATGTGGCTCTCGTGACTGGAGCAGAGGGAGAAAGACTTGATTCAGGTTCTTGCCTCGCAGCCTTGGAATGGGAAAAAGGAATAAAAAATATAGAACATGGGTATTAGTTCATTCTCACACTACTATAAAGACATAGCTGGGAATGTGTTATTTATAAAGAAAAGAGGTTTAATTGACTTGCAGTTCCACAGGCCGTACAGGAAGCATGGCTGGGGAGGCCTCAGGAAACTTACAGTCATAGTGGAAGGCAAAGAGGACGAAGTCATGTCTTACATATCTGCAGAAGGAGGAAAAGAGCACAAAGATGGAAGTGCTACACACTTTTAAACAACCAGATTTCATGAAAACTGACTCACTTTCATGAGAACAGCAAAGGGGAGGTCTGCCTTCATGATTCACTCACCTCCCACGAGGCCTCTGCTCTAACACTGGGGATTACAATTCAACATGAGATTTGGGTGGGGACACAGGGCCAAACCATAGTAACATGTATAATACATATGTATGCAAGTACTGGAATATCAAGTTTCCTGGAGGAAGTAGCTTTTGAGCAGGGCCTAGAAGCATGCCAAGGATTTGGATGTGTTTGTTGTGGGTGGATGAAGTCCATGACCAGCAAGCAGACTCAGGAGAGTTTTGCAGATAAGTGTGTCCAGAAGCAAAACAGGCTGGGAGGAGTGGTGGTGCTGGAAAGGTGGCAGATGCCGAATGATGGAGGACCTTGAATTCCATAGTAGGGAATTTGGCATTTATTTTGTAGCTGTGGGAAGCCATAGCAGTTTTTCACCAAAGAGATAATTTACATCAATTATTCCAAGCCCTCAGATTCACTCCAGTTGCTAGTTCAGTTGTTTGGTTCAAGGAAGCGTCAGAAAGGAAATGAACCAGAAAGGATGAGTGATCCTAGAGTCCAGGGTGTCCTTGGGGTCAGAGGGAGGACAAGGCCTTATGTTCCCTGCCTTTTCCAGGAGGAAGAAATTGTAGTAATATTCCAGGACACTGGATGGACTTGTTTTTCTTTGGAAACAAGGTTATTGACCTCTCTGCCGCAGTAAGAGAAAAATGATATATATGTTAGAACTTGAATATTTTTGTAGAAACTTAATATTAAAGGCCTTATGTTCAAATATGCAGCATTTCACAGTGCTGGTTGAATTATTTGGGCTAGGTTGCCACATGGTGTTCCATGTACAATTCTCCTTGGTAGGCTGGGTTAAAAAATGTGGCTAGGTAAAATGTGAGATGAGAAATAAAAAAGGATCTTTGTTTTTTCATGCTTGTGATACTTAAATAGGCTACTGTGACCCAATTAAGAAGCTCCCAGAGGCCAGGTGTGGTAGCTTATGCCTGTAATCCCAGCACTTTGGGAGGCCAAGGCAGGCAGATCACTTGAGTTCAGGAGTTTGAGACCAGCCTGGCCATCATGGCGAAACTCCATATCTCCCAAAAATACAAAACTTAGTCGGGCATGGTGGCACACACATGTAATCCCAGCTACTTGGAAAGCTGAGGCAGGAGAACTGCTTGAACCCAGGAGGTTGCAGTGAGCCAAGATCAGGCCACTGTACTCTAGCCTGGGTGACAAAGTGAGACTGAGACTCTGTCTTAAAAAAAAAAAAAAACTATCCAGGCGTGGTGGTGGATGCCTGTAATCCCAGCTACTTGGGATGCTGAGGTGGGAGAATTGCTTGTACATGGGAGGTGAAAGTTGCAGTGAGCCGAGGTCAGGCCACTGCACTCTAGCCTGTGCAACAGAGGCTTTGTCTCAAAAAAAAAAAAAAAAAAAAAAAAAGTTCCCAGAAATAACCTCTAAGCCACCCATCTAATTGGTCCCAGAGAGATCAAAAAAAATGCAGCATTGAAAATGGCGTGGAGGCAATGACTTAGGGTTTATAGACAGGCATCTTCCCTGTCGTCATCCCTGACATCTTCCCCAAGTGGGCTACCACAGGTCCTAGGTGATGACTGGTTAGGCCATGAAGCTGTTCAGAGGGACAGAGAGCTGCAGAGTTTGGGGAAATCCACCCCCTGCTTCCCCAGAAGGAGAAGATGCATACTAATCTGTTTTGGAGACAATGCAGAATACTGATTAGCCAAATATTTGCTGGTGATGGGGATCACTGTGTGTATTCGTTTTCTATTGCTGCTATAACAAATTACCATACACTTAATGGTTTAGAACAACATAAATCCATTCATTATCTTATAGTTCTGAAGGTCAGGAATCTGAAAAGATCTCACTGGGCTAAAATCAAGTTGCTAGCAGGACTGTGTTTCTTTCTGGAGGCTCTAAGGGATAATCTTTTTTCTTGCCTTTTCCAGCTTCCAGGAGCTGCCTGCATTCCTTGGCTTGTGGCCCCTTCCTCTATTTTCAAAATCAGTAAAGTCCCATCTATCTGACCCCTTTTCCATCATCACATCTGTCTCTAACCAACTATAGCTGGGAAAGGTCTTCTGCTTTCAAGGACCCATGTGATTCACTGAGCATACCTGGATAACCAGGGTCATCTCCCATCTTAAGATCCTTAGCCTTAATCACATCTACAAAGTCCCTTTTGCCATGTGAAGTCACATATTCACAGATTCCAGGGATTAGGACATGGATCTCTTTTGGGGGAACATTTTTCTGCCTTCTATAGTGTGTATTAAACTTTGATGCTTATGGCATGGCCCCGTTTTCGTATCTTCTTCCACTCAGCTAAAGCCTTAGGTGAGCCCGGGCCACCCTGGCAGCTGCCCTGGCCAGCTGATGTGGTGATCCATGGAGCCAGCTCTGGTTCATGCCAATAATCTCATTTATCCAGCAGTCTCACTTGGCCTTGAACAATTTACCGTTCCCAAATATCAGCATGTTTTTCTGTAAAGGAGTGATGGTTCCCAACAAGAAGAGGTTGACACACTCAAATTCAGGTAATTTGAGGAGATTAGAATAAAAGGATTTTAGGTCTTCTGCGGTTGCTAGAATATTTCATTGGCCAGTATCTATTGTCCTCATCCGCACTGTTGCTGGCCATCTGCGGTCAGAGATTCCTCAGTCCAGGGCCTGACCAAAAGGACTTGCTCCACTTACATTGCAAAGCAAACAACAGATTCTTAAACAAGAAAGATGATGCCTTCTAAAGCTTGGCTATTCCAGCCAAGCTCAGGGGAAAGACATTTTCCCTAAAGTATCAACAAGCCATTTGATCTCAGACTTAGAAGGTCATTCTTGTCTGCTTTTTTCTCCCATTAGATGAAAGAAAATGAAATGTTTTCCGTAAAAGTAATTTATGAAGCACTCCATATGGCAATATTAAAACTGTAAAAGTAAGCCTCCAGGGGACAAAACAAATAATGCTGTGTCATCCGTCTGCCCTGGTACTGTCCCTGGGTAATGTCAGGCACAGAACGTTGGGGAACTGGCTCCCCACTCAACTGGTACTTGGATGCCTTTGGAGCTTTTCCTTGAACATTGTTGCTAAGGTTCATGAAATCTTCAGATTTTTGTTATGGAATCCATTCGCAAAGCAAAATGATCTTAAGTGTAAATACTAAATTTACTGTAAATTGCAGACATCACTACCTCCAAGACCCTTTTAATATATTGAGTCCCACTGAATGCTGGAATCCAAGATAAAGTTCTTTAAGAATATAGCACTCATGTCATTCATGTATTCATTCGTTCATTGATGCAGTCATTCAAGAAATATTTACTGAGTACCTATTAGGATTCAGTGGTGAGCAAACCACTCTAATGGGTGATACAAATGCAAATTAGAGCGATCGTTGATATGGAGAAAAGATAGAGGGTTTAATAAGAGCTTATAACAGGATAAGCACTGGGACACCATGGACAGATTTTAGGTAGGGGAGTTAAATGGTCATATTTTCCCTTTTAAGAGTATCATATAGGCTGCAGTGTGGGAAACAGATCAGAGAGGCTTCAGGGCCTGCCCAACCATCCTTTACGAGTGTTGTTTAACGCAAGGTCTCGTGGTAGACAGTGTTACATGGTTAACCCCATTTCCATTCTCCTCTTGCCCTGCTTCCATGTGGTATAGAGGCTGGAAAAGTTAAACACCTTCTTCCCCACCTCCTGTGCAGCTCAGTGTAGTCATGTGACCCTGCTCTGGCCTGAGACTTGAGCAGTGATCTGTTGAGGTCTTCTGGGAAGGAATATGCTTTTCCTGATAAAAGGAATGAGTGCAGCTGTTCCCCCTCCCCCTCCTTCCCACCTTTCACAGAGAAGGGATGACTAGAGCTGGGCAGCCATCAGGCAACCACAAGGGAAAGACCAAGATGTTGGTGTTCATAGAATAGAGCCTCTGCAGCAATGTCAGCACCACACACATATGGACTGCTTGTTATGTGGAAAATATCAGCCCCCATCTTTGGAGATTGGATTTTTTTGTTGTGGTTACTTTCCATGAAAAGCATTCTAAACAGATACAGTGATTCAAACATAGGCTTAGCCGAAAACAAATTAATAGGCATTTTGATCATTGTCATAGTTAGCGGGTGGAATCCCCAAATTCCACTTGTGCCATTGAAATTGCAGCCTTTGAATGGGATGATAAAAGAGGGTTGGAAA
Source organism: Homo sapiens (assembly GCF_000001405.40). Lineage (NCBI taxonomy): Eukaryota > Metazoa > Chordata > Mammalia > Primates > Hominidae > Homo > Homo sapiens. Next base: position 72,345,529 of record NC_000014.9, read on the forward strand.
GAAGAAGGGAGCCGTGATGGTTTTCTTCCACAGGCCTGTGGTGGCATTCCTCAGTGTTTCACTTCCAACCTCCTTGGAACCCATGCTTATCTTAGCTTCAGCCTCCAACACAGCCTTAACTGTAAGCCTAGTTCCCTGAGTCACTCTGAAATGTATTAGTCCATGAGGAAGGAGAACAGATTCTGTCTTCTACCTGTTTTCATAACTGTAGAAATGAACACAGTGCATGGCACTTGGTAGGTGCTCAGTGAATGTCCACTAAGCCAGTACGTACACACAAATACATGCAAAAGTTGAAAATCGCAATGCATTGTGTCTTTAAAAATAAAAAAGAGAAATAGCCTGATCTTTTGGAACACATATGGGGCAGAGCCTGCTCAATGAAGCATGCACATTTTGGATTAAGAAATATGATTATCATTTGTCAGCTCTGATTTCTGCCTCTGGGCTGATAAGATGGTGTCCGAGGAGTCATTTTCACTCCTTTGCAGACACCAAAACAGAAGGGGTCTTTGCTGAAAGGTAGACTCTGACGTGACAGTCATTAGTAGCTAGAAACAGGCAACTGATTGCAAAGTCAAGATGAAGTGCTTCAGTAAAAAGAACCTTCATGCTTGAGGCATACTCTTTGCTTCTTTGTTGAAGTTGTGGTAGATTTTTTTAAAAAACAATCACAATATAGTTTGCTATACTTTAAGTTTTTAACATCTCCACTGGGGAAAAATTGAAGGAGCTAAGTAAATTAGCTCATTGGATCATGAATTTATAGAAAAAAAATTAATATTGCCCTTTGTCGTTTCTGTTAGGAGTGTCACGGGTCAAAGCAGAGACAAGAGGCATGGAGAAGGAGCAGTGTGAGGGCCTCTCCGGGTCATTTCTCTGTCTGGCTTCTGATGCTATCTGCCCAACACAGTTTCTGAAAACATCAGAAACTCCCCAGTTTTGCCCAACATGCTTCCCCTACCTTGCACCTCTTAGTGCAGAGACATGTTCTGTGAGAATCCACCTGGTAAGACAGACAACATGGAGAGGAAGATCTCAGAGACCTGGCTTCCTTTCCTGCCCTTCCCTTGCAGACAGAGTTTTACTTTGTGAAGTCTCCAGTTTCAGAATGAGAAACCTCTGTTAAGCAACCAGGCCTATCACTGTAGGGATGAGAAAAGTGAAGTCCAGATAGGTGAAGCAACTTGTCCCAGGTCAACACAGCATGTCAGAGAAGCTGAGGCCAGCCAGTCTCCTGGGTTCTCCCCCATGTTCTTCCTACTGCCCCTCTGCGGCTTCCATTTGTAAAGAGAGGATTGCTTCTCCTCACTCCTCTCGCACACTCTTGAGGCTATTTCAGTGAATTGTGTCTATCTTTTTATATTTCCCATTTAAAAGAAAACCCACTCTATGGCATAATGGTTTCCAGTGTCCTGCTGTTTGGAAGAATGTTTTACCTGCCTGTCAGTGCTGAGCTTTGAGCTCCTTGAAGAAGGACATTCTCGTGGCTGTGGCCCATCCAGGCAGAACCAGCCTAGCTGGCCAAGTGGTTTCTCTGCATCGTTTGGCTGTCAGATAAGGGCCACCTGCTTATTGATTGGCACAGTGACGCTTAAGTCCAAACATCCTCCCTAATGACACAGAACTTCATATTAAAGGATGTCAGGGAATTGATTTTGCTCTTCTTTAGGAACAAAAGATGTCAGAAGTTAGAAGGAACTGAACAGTCAGGAAAACGTAAGTCTCTATACCTTCCCATCACCCCATCCCTGACCCACAAGCCATGATCGGCCAGTGGAAGATAAATCTAACCAATCCCATGGGACAAAGGGAGAGAGCCCTGCACAGCAAGACAGCAGCAGTCATTGGGCAGAAATAAATCATGAGATGGTTGAGAATCTGATTCTCTGGGTCAATTTCTCTGCATCCTCCTCTGCCCTTTTAGGCCTGTGCTAAACTTTCCCTTTGATGCAAATGGTATTAAGTGCCTTGTGTCTGAAAAGGTTGTTGGCAGGCTTTGGTTGAGAACATAAAGATGAATCTTTGTTCTCTTGTCTATAAAATGGGGATATAATAATCTACCTCCTGTGAGAATTCAATAATTTTATAAGATAAAGCTCTTAGAGCAGTGCCTGGCCCAGAGTGGATACTCAACTAATGTTAACTAAGAAAATGAAAATGAAAATCCAGGAATAGTCTCTGCCTGCAAAATGTTTTGAATGTAAGGAGGGAGATGAGACGCTGTGTATATATGCCTCTGTTCTGTATTTTTAATCAACTACTAAGGCCATAGAGAACAAAGAGTTACCCCTTTTTAAGGTAAAATAAATTATACTCATTGTCCAGCAAGGAAGAAATGAATTGAAAATCCTAGAGGCAGAAAAGTGCAGAGTTTGGAGACTACCAGGTGGCACTGAGACTAAAAGCTTTATTTGCCATGTTCAGCTCAAGATTTAATGGGTTGTATAGTGTAAGGGGCTAACTCCAGGATCTGCTGGAACTCACTCTGGGATCCACAGCAAACAAAGCACTAACCTTGGCATATGGCGCTGCGAGAAGTTTCCTAGGATCAGCCAGGCTCTGGGCCACTCACTGGGTTCATGCCTCTGAACATTACCTTCCAGGAGCTGCCCCCATTACTGAACCTAATACGCTACTCAGAAGTTTTGTAACCAAGGTTTTCTAAAAGTCTGAGAAATAGAAGATGAACTTTAGATTTGATAAACAGGGCTGTACACTGGAGTCAGGTAGAGGTGAGTAGGAATCCTGGCCTTGCCACTTACTAGCTGTTTGACCTTGGATAAATTGCTTAACCTTTCTAAGCCTCAATTTCAATGTCTTTATTAAATAACTTTTATGACCGGGAAATCAATTAAATAATTTATTTAAAATACTTAGGGCAGTATTGATCATGAAATAGATGTTCTGAAAATACTTATAATGATTTTGATCAGTTCCTGAGAGCCCACTTGTAATTTTCATTGGGTCTGTACTCTTGGGACTTCTCCAGAAACCATGACAAGGAATTTTAGAGAGTATTACCCGATATTGTAGTGGACTGTGCTCAAGAATCAAATACAACAATGTCAAAAATTTGTCTGACACAACAAAGAAATGGACTACCTGAAATAGTATATATAGTCCCTAAGAGTTTTAAAATAGATGGTGGATGGTAATAAATTGAATTTCTGCGTTCTTAGAAAGGGTGATTCAGAGATACCCCAATTCTAAGAGTCACTGACACTGAATGTCAAGTATTTTTTGTGGCTTCAGAAATTTCTGATAAATGCATTTTTTCAGAGTGTTGTTGTATCATAACTTTGCTGTAGAGCAAACCACTTCAAACTTAGTGATCTATAAAAATAAACATTTATGGCCGGGCGTGGTGGCTCACGCCTGTAATCCCAGCACTTTGGGAGGCCAAGGTGGGCAGATCACAAGGTCAGGAGATCGAGACCATCCTGGCTAACATGGTGAAACCCTGTCTCTACTAAAAATACAAAAAATTAGCCAGGCGTGGTGGCAGGCGCCTGTAGTCCCCAGCTACTCAGGAAGCTGAGGCAGGAGAGTGGCATGAACCTGGGAGGTAGAGCTTGCAGTGAGCCTAGATCACGCCACTGCACTCCAGCCTGGGTGAAGAGTGAGACTCCGTCTCAAAAAATATATATAAAATAAAAAATAAATAAACTTTTATTGCTTGCTCATGAGTCTATAGGCCAGCTTAGGTTTGGCTGATCTAGCAATGGGTTCAGTACCATTTGCTCCAGATGTCTCTCATCTTCCTTGAAATAACAACTATTCTGAGGCGTGTTCTTCTCATGGTAAGAGGGCAAGAGAAGGGAGTAACTACAGCCATGCAGGTACATAGCAAGTCCCTGTTCATATCACATTCAATAACACCCCAGTAGCCAGGCAAATCATATGGCCAAACCCGAAAGGGAAAAGGTAGACACTGCTCACTATGAGGCCAAGGCAAGTATTCAGGTGTATATTAATACCATGGGGGAGTCAGGAACTGGGGGGCAATAATTCCTTCTTCCACACCTGTGATGTTGCAGACTGTTGCTGGAGTGTAGTCTTCTTTCTGTTAGTTGAGGGGATTGTTTTTTTGATCTAGCTGTAACCCCTGATGAGTGATGTACCTCTTAGTAAATTGTGGGCAAACATAAGGAAAAAGGACCTCTTTAGTAAATGAGCCTTCTAAGATTCAGTCGTGTGGTGAAATAACTAAACTGAGTGGAGGACAAAGAAGTCACAGAACCAATCCTTCAAATCCAGCCCGCAGCAGCAGAGGTGTAAACAGTTACTATCTAATGTCCACTCCGGGGTCTACCTGAATTGAATTGTTGGTTTCCTTCCAATTCTCAATGATTTTCTGGCCATTTTCATAGAAACCATCAATGTAACTGATACTTCTGGTTTCAAATAATATGCTAGATCAAAAGCATAAATTACCTTGAAAATGTGACCATTTTTCTAGCTCTCCTTGGCTATCAATAAATAATACTCAAATTGCTCTAAATTGTTGGATTGAGTTTAGGAGACAAAGGCCAGCAGTAACTGAGATGATTAACATGAATTGGGATAAAACTCCCTCTTCAGTTTTCATCTAACAGAATGCAGGTCTTCAGAGAATGATTGTCTTTTCTAGCATAATACTCATCTACCTCCTGAAGGGCTGGGAGCTTAGAATTCTTTCTCACTCTCAGTACTTCTTAGAGAAACCCAGAAGAGTCCAGTGAGAATGGTTTCCCTGTTTGGCTGATTTTCTGGGAGGCAGAATGGCTCAGGGGTTAGATGCCATTCTGGGATCTATGGCTGGATTCAAACTTGGCTGCACACCTGGGTAGCTGTGTGACCCTGCGAAAGTTGCAAAGGTTGGTTAACCTCTGCAGTTGTCCCTGATGTTGATCACAGATCTTCAGTTCCCCTTTCCTCCTGTCACCCAGAGGACTGAGTCCCTGGCTCCTTTGTGGTTGGGTGGTGCTATGTGACCAGTTCTGGCCAAGGATTGTGAGCAAACATGCTCTATGTAACTTCTGGATTACACTATTTAATACCCAGTGAGAAACTCTCCAGAATTCTCTCTTGTCCCCCTGGCACATTGACCAGCAACATGCAAGGTGATGTAACTCCAATGAGTAGGGTTCCCTTGTTGACCTACACTAGACATGTAGCATGACAGAGAAATAACCTTTGTGCTAAGCCACTGACATTTGGGGGGTTATTTGCTGCCATAACTTAATCCACCCTACCCTGATTGATGCACCTCACTATATCTTTGTTTCTTTATGTGAAAAAATGGAGATAATAGTAGAATCTATTTCATCAAGTAATTATGAGGACTAAACAGGATAATGTGTGTATAATACTTAGAATAGTACCTAGCACATAATAAATTTTTAATATATTTTAGCTATTTATGATGATGATGATGATGTTATGCCGTGCTCTAACTTTGCCTCTAACAAGTTATCTATTTCTATCAAACAAGTTATTAGTCATGTGTCTTCAAGAAAATCACTTATCATCAAGTTGCAATCATAGTATGTTAGAATAAGTGAGCTGTAAGACTAATTTCTAGCCTTATGATGTGAGCCTCTATTAAGAACTCACTCAGAGACTCCATCCTGGTGTTTCAAAGATATTTCTATTGGTTAGGAAAATAAAACGTGATAATACTAAACATTATTTTCTCCCCTTCAGTTGCTCTCCCTTCCCCAAACAAAAAGATGTATCCTTATTACAGAATTCTTTCTGTATCCTGTTCTGAAGATTTCTGCTCAGGAAATTACTCTGGCTCGTAAATTATTAACTACAAATTGGTTTTCCGGTTTAGGCACCTACACCCTCATCAGTCCATCCCCATTCTCTGTTCTGTTTTCACCAGTAGGATGTCAACAGTCCACTATGATCTTTTTTCCTGATAGCATGGTCTTACCAAAAGGAGAAGTTCCTGTCCTTGACCACCTTAGTCCAGGCTAAAATAGCTATCCACATACCACCACTCATGACCACTGAGACCTGTTTTCCAACTTCTTCAGATCAGAGCTTTCCATATCTGGTTTTTCTCTCATGTTACTCTAGATGTATCCTTCTCTAGTCCCAAAGGTAGCCCTGTCTGCAATTCCCAATAGCAGCATGTTAATCTATGTTAACATATTATATTGAACCATAAGAAATTGCCTTTGTGGAAGGGGTGGGGGTTGAATATAGAAATTTCATATGGTTCAACCTATATGTAAACCCAATTTGGAAAAGAAGGAGACTGTGATCACATACCTATTAAATTACATGTTGGATCCCATCAAGAATCCTAATGTATTTCTTCCTCCATACCTTGTTGAACTGGGATCTTGTTCCAGGACATGACTTATGCTCTGTATATAACCTTCAGACCTCCCTATACCCAGCACTTGGTAGATAGCAGATACTGATGCTGTATTTATTGACCAACTAGATGGGAGCTTTTTGTGATATCTATTGTTGACATCCATGTTTATACATTTGGGCTGTTTAAAAAGGTACCATTTATAATTACATTATGGGAGAAAATAACACTTCTTTTCTTTAACCTCTTTCAGATTGAAGACATCATTACAAAGATGCAAGATGACAAGACAGGGGGTGTGCCCATCAGAACAGTCAAGAGCTTTCTCTCCAAAATCCCCAGTGTCGTCACAGGTAACACCCTCCTTGCAAGGTGTTGGTAACAGTCAGAACTACCAAAGAGTTATAAGTCTAGATTGCGGCCTGAGGGGTGTCTGAAGATCTGTGAATAGTAAAAATGAAACATTCAGTGTGTTTCTTGACTCAGGTCCCATCCTAGTCTTAGTTTCCAGGAAGAAGCTACTTGTTGCCCATCATTAAGAATGACCTTACCATGACCAGCCCTTCAAGTGCATGTAGATTGAGGCTGCTGGGAATAAATAAACCCATTAATAAAGTGGCGCATCAGCAACTTTGCCTGTGGGATACACACAAGCACAGAAATATTAAAGAAATTAAACAGGTTTTTAAGAAAGTGTTATATTCAAATTCTACAAAATGCTTTTATTTTCAGTTTTTTAACTCAGTGTACTTGACCTCCTGAAAGAGAGGTTTTAAACTATTTTTCTTCATTCCTTATATTGTGCTTTGTGTGCTCATCTTTCTTTTAAAATATTTTATTGTGAAATATATTAAAACACATGGGTAGTTCAAAAATAATAAAACACAGTACATGTACCTACCATCCTGCCTTATAAAGAACATTATTATCAATATCTTAGAGCCCCCTTGGGTACCTACTGTATTGCATCCACTTCCCTAAACACTATCTGCTTGTATACTAATCAATTCATTGTTTTTCTTCATAGTTTTACTACCTAGGTATGTATCTTTTGCTATCCAAACAAGTAACCAAATAAATTAAGATAAAATTTTAGATGATTCTCTTAATCTGCCTATATGCTTTTCAAAATTCGGGAACCAAAGGACTTAGTTTTCACTATATACCTTTTAGAATGGCTAAAAATAAAAATATTGACAGTACCAAGTGGTGGTGAGCATGTGAAGCAACTGGAACTCTCACATATTGGTGATACGAATGGAAAATTGTGCAGCTACTTTGGGAACTAGTTTGGCAGTTTCTTACACAGTTAAGCAATGCTTACCATATGAACCAGCAATCCCACTCCTGGGTATTCACCCAAGAGCAATGAAAACTTGTGTTTATACAAAAACTTGTATGTAAGGGTTTATAGCAACTTTTATTGAAGTATACTGAAGAATATAGCAACTTTATTCATCATCTCCAAAGACTGGAAACAACCCAAATGTCCTTCAGTGAACGGGTAAATGGATAAACAAACTGTAGTCTCTCCACAATCAGCAACAAAAACCAGGGAACTATTGATACTGGTAGCAACTTGGATTAATCTCTAGGTCATTTTTCTGAGTGAAAGAAGCAGTCTCAAAGGTTACATGCTATGTGATTTCAGGTATACAGCATTGTATACATCACAAAACCGTAGTGATAAAGATTAGATCAGTGGTTTCCAGCAACTGGCATTTGCAGGGCGAGTGTGACTGCAAAAGACAACAGGAGGGAGTTTTATGAGATGATGATGATGAACAGATGAACAGTTCTGTATACTGATTATGGTGATGGTAACATGACTCTATACATAGGCCAAAATTCATGGAACAGGCCAGGCATGATGGCTCATGCCTGTAATCCCAGCACTTTAGGAGGCTGAGGTAGGGGGATCACCTGAGGTCAGGGGGTTGAGACCACCTTGGCCAACATGGCAAAACCCCATCTTTACTAAAAAATACAAAAATTAGCCGGGCGTAGTGGTGCGTGCCTGTAGTCCCAGCTACTTGGGAGACTGAGGCAGGAGAATCACTTGAACCTGGGAGGTAGAGGTTGCAGTGAGCTGAGATCGTGCCACTGCACTCCAGCCTGGGTAACAGAGCGAGACTCTGTCTCAGCAACAACAACAACAACAACAGAATTCATGGAACAGCACACACACACACGCACACACAGGGTCAATATTACTGTATATTAACCTAAAAAATAAGTAGACCCAGTTGAAGTAAGTATCCCAGCTCATTATTGAGACTGTCACTCTTTGAACTCAGGTACTGTCTTACTCAGCTCAGGCTGCTAGAACAAAGCACCCTACACTGGGTGGCTTATAAAGAACAGAAATTCATGTCTCACAGTTCTGGAGGCTGGAAGTCTGAGATCAGGTACCATCATAGGTTCTGGTAAGAGCCCATTCCAGGTTGTAGACTGCTGACTTCTTCTTGTATCCTTGTTTGGTGGAAAGAAAGCTAGATAGGGGGCCGGGTGCCGTGACTCATGCCTATAATCCCAGCACTTTGGGAGGCTGAGGTGGGTGGATCACCTGAGGTCAGGAGTTTGAGAGCAGCCTGGCCAACATGGCAAAACCCTGTCTCTACTAAAAATACAAAAAAAAAAAAAAAATAGCTGGGTGTGGTGGCACGTGCTTGTAGTCCCAGCTACTTGGGAGGCTGAGGCAGGAAAATCACTTGAACTGTGGAGGTTGCAGTGAGCAGAGGTCACGCCACTGCACTCCAGCATGGGCAACAGAGTGAGACTCCATCTCAAAAAAAAAAGTAAGCTAAATAGCTCTCTGGCCTCTCTGTAAAGGGTAATAATTCCATTTGTGAGGGGCCCTCCTTCATAAACTCCCCCAAAGGACTCCTAATGCCATCATGTTGGGGATTAGATTTCAATATATGAATTTGGAGGAGACACGTTCAGTCCAAAATAGAGCCCAGATAGATTTGGGTAATGAAGGATACTTGTATTGTTAGTGTTCTCTAATTTTAAAATTTATGTAAATGAAATTTTACTATATATATTATTCATGTATAATATACAGTATAATATAGACTATGTATGTAATTTTACTATATTATTTTTCACATTCCTGGATTTTGTTCAATAATGTTTAAGATGTTTGTATCTATTTCACAGGCCACACTGATCTGTTGTTTTTCTTACCATTGTTGCTGGTTTGGGTATCAAATTTATGCTAGCCTCATAAATGAGCCATGAAGTATCTCTCTTTTCTTGATATCCTGCTTTTCTTTGAAAAATAATTGTCCCTTTAATCCAGGTTTTAAGTATGTAATTTCAATTATTTTTTATTTTTAAAATTTCCTCTGGTTCTTTTTTTTTTTTTAGACAGAGTCTTGCTCTTGTCACCCAGGCTGGAGTGCAGTGGCATGATCTCAGCTCACTGAAACCCCCACCTCCTGGGTTCAAGCGATTCTCCTGTCTCAGCCTCCTGAGTAGCTGGGATTACAGGCATCCGCCACCACACCTGGCTAATTTTTTGTATTTTTAGTAGAGACAGGGTTTCACCATGTTGCCCAGGCTGGTCTCGAACTCTTGACCTTAGGTGATCCGCCCACCTTGGCCTCCCAAAGTACTCTGGTTCTTTTTACAATATACTTGGTCATTCATTTTTTTAAATTTATTCATTTAGATATTTATTGAGTGTTCACTATTTTCTAAGCATTGTTAAGGACTTGAGATTCAGAAGTAAATGAAACAGATAAAAAGTTCTACCCTCATGGAATTTATATTCTAGTAGAGGAGGAAATAAGTAAGGAAAACTTGCAGAATTTTAGATTGTGATAAAGGCCAAGGAGAAAAATAAAATACACAAAAGGATGGGAAGTGTTGGAGTGTTGCAGCTTTGGAATAGGTGCTCAAGAAAGAGCTCCTCGAGAAGATGACATTTGAGTAAAGACGGAAAGGAGATGAGGGATTGAATCATATGGATATTGAGGGAGAGAGCATGCCAGACAGCCAGAGCTCAGTGCCCAAGGCAAGAGAGTTCCTGGAACATTGAGGATCTGTGAGGAGGAGCCAGGGCAGCTATAATAGAGTCAAGAAAATAAGGAGAGTGGGGATGAAGCCACGTGAGAATGGTGAGCTTGATCACTTAGCCTCTTATCACTGCAGGATTTTGCACATGGCCTGACATGCTCTGACTTACCTTTCAATGAGATCACTCTATTATATTCAGAATTCCCTGGGGGATTGAGGGGTTAGGTGCCAGATAGGAGGCTATTATTAAAATGGTGCCTCAGACTAGGTGATATGGTTTCACTCTGTGTCCCTACCCAAATCGCATCTCAAATTATAATCCCCACATGGCAAGGGAGGGACCTGGTGGTAGGTGATTAGCTCATGGGGAAGGTTCTCCCGTGCTGTTCTCATAATAGCGAGTGAGTTCTCACAAGATCTGATGGTTTAAAAGTGTGGCACTTCCCCCTGCTCTCTCTCTCTCCTGCCGCTATGTAAGACATGCCTTTTTTCCCCTTTACCTTCTGCCAGGATTGTAAGTTTCCTGAGGCCTCCGCAGCCATGTAATTAACTGTGAGTCAATTAAGCTTCTTTCCTTTATAAATTACCCAGTCTCAGATCATTCTTTATAACAGTGTGAAAATGGACTAATACACTAAGCTATCAGCACTGGAGATGTGTGAAGTAGTCAGATTCGGATTCAAGTCTGAAGGTAGATGATATGGTTTGGCCAAGTCCCCACCCAAATCTCATCTTGAATTGTATAATAGTTCCCATAATTCCCACATATCATGGAAGGGACCTGGTGGGAGGTAATTGAATCATGGGGGCAGTTACCTCTATGCTGTTCTCATGATGGTGAGTGAGTTCTAATGAGATCTGATGATTTCATAAGGGGCTTTTCCCTGTCTTTGCTCTGCACTTCTCCTTGCTGCTTCCATGTGAAGACAATGTATTTGCTTCACTTTCTGCCATGATTGTAAGTTTCCTCAGCCGTGCTGAACTGTGAGTCAATTAAACATATGTCCTTTATAAATTACCCAATCTTGGGTATGTCTTTATTAGCAGCATGAGAATGGACTAATACCGTAAATTGTTACTAGGTAGTGGGGCACTGCTGTAAAGATACTTGAAAATGTGGAAGCAGCCAGGCGCGGTGGCTCATGCCTGTAATCCCAGCACTTTGGGAGGCCATGGCAGGTGGATCATTTGAGGTCGGGAGTTCAAGACCAGCCTGGCCAACATGGTGAAGCCCTGTCTCTACTAAAAGTACAAAAATTAGCTCAGTGGTAGTGGCACGCACCTGTAATCCCAGCTACTTGGGAGGCTGAGGCAGGAGAATCACTTGAGCCCAGGCAGCAGAGGTTGTGGTGAGCTGAGATCACACCACTGCATTCCAGTCTGTGAGACCCTGTCTCAGAAAAAAAAAAAAAATAGAAAATATGGAAGTGACTTTGGAACATGGGTGACAGGCAGAGGAAGGAACAGTTTGAAGGGCTCAGAAGAAGACAAGAATATGGGGGAAAGTTTGGAACTTCCTAGAGACTTGGAGGGCTTAGAAGACAGGAAGATGTGGGAAAGTTTAGAACTTCCTAGAGACCTGTTGAATGACTTTGACCAAAATACTGATAGTGATATGGACAATAAAGTCCAGGCTGAGGTAGTCTCAGATGGAGATGAGAAACTTGTTAGGAACTGGAGCAAAGATAACCCTCGTTATGCTGTAGCAAAGTCAGGTGGCATTTTGGCCCTGCCCTAGAGATTTGTGAAACTTTGAACTTGAGAGAGATGATTTAGGATATCTGGCAGAAAAACATTTCTAAGTGCAGAGTGTTCAAGAGGTGACATTTGACATCTCTGGACACAAGAGAGCATAAAAGTTTGGAAAATTTGCAGCCTGACGAACCAGTAGAAAAGAAAAACACATTTTCTGGGGAGAAATTCAAGCTGGCTGCAGAAATTTGCATAAGTAAGGAGGAACCAAATGTTAATTGCCAAGACAGTGGGGAAAATGTCTCCAGGGCATGTCACAGACCTTCAAGGCAGCACCTCCCACCACAGGCCCAGAGACCTAAGAGGAAAAAATGTTTATTTTTCCTCTTAGGTCCAGGGCCCCACTGCTGTGTGCAGCCTAGGGACTTAATGCCCTGTGTCCCAGCTGCTCCAGCTATAGTTAAAAGGGGTCAAGGTACAGCTCGGGCCATGGCTTCAGAGGGTGCAAGCCTCCAGCCTTGGCAGCTTCCACATGGTGTTTGTCTTCTGGGTGTGCAGAAGACAAGAACTGAGGTTTGGGAACCTCCATCTTGATTTCAAAGGATATATAGAAACACCTGGATGTCCAGGCAGAGGTGTGCTGCAGGGGCAGAGCCCTCATGGAGAGCCTCTGCTAGAACAGTGCAGAAGGGAAATGTGGGGTTGGAGTCCCCACACAGAGTCCCCACTGGGGCACTGCCTAGAGGAGCTGTAAGAAGAGGGCCACTGTCCTCCAGACTCCAGAATGGTAGGTCCACCCCCAGCTTGCACTGTGCAACTGGAAAAGCTGCAGACACTAAACACCAGCTGTGCAAGCAGCCAGGAAGGAGGCTGTACCCTGCAAAGCTACCGGGTCAGAGCTGCCCAAGATAGTGGGAGCCCACCTCTTGCATCAGCATAACATGGGTGTGAGACATGAAGTAAAAGGAGATTATTTCATAACTTTAAGATTTAATTAGTTACCTATTGGATTTCAGACTTGCATGGGGCCTGTAGCCCCTTTGTTTTGGTGAATTTCTCCCATTTAGAACAGGTATATTTACCCAGTGCCTGTACCCACATTGCATTTAGGAAGTAACTAGCTTGCTTTTGATTTTACAGGCTCATAGGTGGAAGGGACTTGCTTAGTCTCAGATGAGATTTTGGACTTGGACTTTTGGGTTAATGCTGGAATGAATTAAGATTTTGGGGGACTGTTGGGAAGGCATCATTGTGTTTTGAAATGTGAGGATATGAGATTTGGGAGGGGCTGGGGTAGAATGATATGGTTTGGACATGTCCCCACCCAAATCTCATCTTGATTTGTAATTCCCATAGTCCCCATGAGTCTTGGGAAGGATGCAGTGGGAGGTAATTGAATCATGGGTTGGTTACCTCCATGCTTTCCTCATGATAGTGAGTGAGTTCTCATGAGATCTGATAGTTTTATAACGGGCTTTTCCTCTACCTCACTCTTCACATCTCCTTGCTGCTGCCATGTGAAGAAGGATGTGTTTGCTTTCCTTTCTGCCATGATTGTAAGTTTACTGAGGCCTTTCCAGCCATGCTGTACTGTCTGTCAATTAAACCTCTTTTCTTTATTTCCCAGTTTCATGTATGTCTTTATTAGCAGCATGAGAACCGACTAATAGAGTAGAACAGATATTATTAGCGGATAGATCAGATATGGAATGTGAGAGGAAAAAAAGGAATTAGCCATGATCCACACTTTTTGGCTTCAGCAACTGGAAAAATGGAGTTGCTATTAATTTCAATGAGGAATACTATAATAGGGGTGCCAGGGGTTGGGGTGGGGGGCAGTTGTTAGCTGAAGGGTAAGAAATCAAAACACAAATTTTAGGTCAAGTTTTAGCGACCTATTAGACATTCAGTTGGAGATGACAAGTAAGTATTCCAGTATGTGGATTTGGATTTTAAGGGAGTGTCTGTGCTGGGTTCATAAGCCATCAGCATGTAGACAGTATTTAGAGCCATAGGAATAATGAGGTCACCAAGGGAGTGAGTGTAGATAGAACACACAGTCCAATTCCTAAAACACAGGGTACTCCAATCTATAGATGTGAGGGAGAGAATAAGAAAACAGCAAAAGAAATAGAACAAGTGGCTGGAGACAAGGAGGAAAAATCAAGAGGATATAATTTCTTGGACACCAATTTTTCTAGAAAGTGTTTTAAGGAAGAGTAGAGTGACCTACTATAGCTATGCTGAGAAGCTAAGGGCTGAGAATTGATCATTGCCTTTAGCAATGCTGAATTCATTGCTGACCTTGGTAAGTGCACATTCTGTGAAACATTGGGAGCAAAAATCCTTATTGGGTGTGTCCAACCTGAGATGAGGAGAGTGATTCGAGGTGCTAAGACAGTTAATCTTGGAAGGAGTTTCCCTTGTAAAATGAAGAAATGCAGTCATATCTAGAGGGGTACGTTAGGTCAGAACAGGTAGATTTTTAATTTAATAAAAAGATAATATGTTTGTATTATAGAAATGACTCAGTGGGGGTGGGGGAGATGATGTAGGAGAATGGGAAAACTTCAAGGAGTTATATCAAAGAATAGGTAAGAGAGGATTGAATTTAACATGCATATTGGTGAGTAGTTTCAGCTAGAAACACATACAATTTATTCATAGAAAGAAGAAAGGAGGCAGCCGGGCACAGTGGCTCAGGCCTCTAATCCCAGCACTTTGGGAGGCTGAGGTAGGCAGATCACAAGGTCAGGAAATCAAGACCATCCTGGCTAACACGGTGAAACCCCGTCTCTACTAAAAATACAAAAAAATTAGCTGGGTGTGGTGGCGGGCACCTGTAGTCCCAGCTACTCGGGAGGCTGAGGCAGGAGAATGGCATGAACCCAGGAGGCAGAGCTTGCAGTGAGCCAAGATCACGCCACTGCACTCCAGCCTGGGTGACAGAGTGAGACTCTGTCTCAAACAAACAAACAAAACAAAACAAAAAAGGAAGAAAGGAGGCATAATAGATGCACAGAGGTACAAATAAGTGGGCAGATGTGATGGGAGGTGGTGGAAGCTTATAGATCTTCTCATTGTCTCTATGTTCCTAGTAATCTGGAAACCAAAAATGGTAGAGATTTTGCAAGTTCAAGGAGAGATCATAAGTTATAAATTAGTCAACTAGGAAAGTAGAGATTGACTGGACTAGGGAAATAGAACTTTGATTGTGACTGATATGGTTTGGCTCTGTGTCCCCACTCTGATTTCATCTCAAATTGTAATCCCCATAATCCGCACATGTCGAGGGAGATACCTGGTAAGAGGTGATTGGATCGTGGGGGTGGTTTCCTCCATGCTATTCTCATGATAGTGAGCAAGCTCTCACGAGGTCTGATGGTTTTTATAAGTGTTTGACAGTTTCTTCTTCACAGACTCTCTTGCCTGCTGCCATTTAAGACATGCGTGCTTCCCTTTTCGCCATGATTGTAAGTTTCCTGAGGTCTCCCTAGCCATACGGAACTGTGATTCAATCAAACCTCTTTTTTTTTTTTTTTTTTTCATAAATTACCCAGTCTTGGGTATATCCTTATAGCAGTGTGAGAATGTACTAATACAGTGACCTTCTTAGGATGATTAATATTTTTGAATTTAAAGACAGGTAATTTTTTTCCCCATCCACATTTAGCTCTGTGGATTTGGGCATGCCTCAGGTAGAAAGTGGACTTAATTGATGTTATAGCAAGTTTGAGGTTATAATAGATCAAGACAGAGGCACAGTAACTAAAATGATTGCCCATTACATTTAATTGAGTAAGGATGAAAACAAGAACATGAGATGGATGAGGAACCATGAAGAGTAGTAATTACCACAAATTGTAAGTCAAGTGGCAAAGAAATTTTGGAGTTTTCAGAGGCAAGAGTAAGAGAGCTGAAAATATAGTAGATGGTGATTAGATGGTGGCATGTTTGAAATTGAGATTCTGGAAAGATTGTGATTATTGGCAGGGACAATAATATAAGATATAACCATAGGAACAAGGCATTGAAATGGGATAAAGTGTAAGATTTTTGGAGGAGAGGAGGTTAAGGAACTGAGAGGCCATGATACTGGAAGACTGAGCTGTGTGAATATTGAAATCACTACTGGGGGAGTGTTAGAGAAGGTGGTTGTGAGTTAAAATCTTTATGGAATGAGAAGCAAAGGACCAGGGATCAGCAGATGACTTTCACAATAAGAGGTACAGGTGGTTTAATCAGATGGTATGGGAGTCAAAGCTGAGTGTGTTTTAGAGAAGAGGGAGGGGATGAAGGTGATCTGAAAGCAGCAGTTAGTAGCAGGACAGTCACTTATCTACCTGTAAACCCCATGGTATATAAAGTGTGGGAGGGAAAATAGCCACCACGTAAGAGGGCTGCAGGGAAGCAGGACCACTGGGGAAGAATGAGAAGATGAAAGGAATATTAACTGATTTTATTTATGATTCATCATGAGTCCAAGAGGGCAAGTGGAAGGGTTTCAGGAGGAGATGGTGAGTTTATGACTTGAGTAATAAATGCCTGCTGTTGCTATGTGCCAGGCTCTAGAGTAGTCACAGACGATATAAAGATGAACAAAGACTTGACCCCTGCTCTTAAAAAGCTATTAATCTAGTGAGAGAAACAGACACAGGTAGATCAATGATTTATATGAGCTATGTGCCATAATAGAAGAATGGACAAAATGCTGTTTGAGTCCAGGAGAGAGAATCATGAATTTTTATTGGGTATGTCTAGAATATTTCTCTGAGAAGGTATATCAGTTATCTATTTCTGTATAACAAACCCACAAACTATAATTGCTTACAACTACAGTGATTTATTGTTTCTTATGATTATGATTCCATGAACCGGCAATCTGGGCAGTTCTGCTGGTCTCAGCCATGAGGCCATAGTCATCTGATGGCTCAACTGAGGCTGGAGGGTCTACAGTGGCCTCACTCATTTGTTTGGCCTTGGTGCTTACTCTTAAACTCTTAACTGGGGTCTCAGTTCTTCTCCATGTCACCTTGTATCTGCCAATAGGTTAGATTGGGCTTCTTCACAGCCTCTTGGTCTTAGGGTTCCAAGCAGGACAGGATAAAAACTGCAAGACCTCTTAGGGCCTAGGCTCCAGAACTCATACAATGTCAAGTGTGCCACGTCACGTTCTTCAAGGCAAATTACAAGGCAAAGTCTGGATTGAAGAGGATGGAGAAACCAACTCCACCTCCTGGTGTAGGAGTGGCAACATCATGTTGACATTGGGAGACACGATTCATTGGAGGGCATTACCATAACAATCTACCACAGACAATAATTGAGAACCGGACCTTAAACATAAGTGGAAACCCAGGAAAAGTCATTCCACGTAGAGAAAATAGAATTTTCATAGCCTCAAATACATGACAAACATGCCAGGTTTCAGTAAGTATAAGCTTGTTTGTGTGGTTGGAGTTTAAAACACATTTATGTGTGTATGTATTTGAGAAGAGGAGCATATTGGCAGAACAGCCACAGGAATGAAAAGGATACAAGAATTACACCTAATAATATATTATAAAGGAAAGCTGACTTGTAGACTTTGTTCCAAAGGTGGGGCTGCTTTTATCTCAAAGGTAACCCATCTACCCTGCTCAGATGGACTGCCGTCAGAGGTTTTAAATATGAGGGAATTCACATCCATGAAGTGGATGGAAGTTTAAGCAGGAAGAAATGAGGAGTGTGGAGACTAGTTATGGAGTCTAGATGAGGGAATGTATGTGAGAAATAAGGCCATATTAACGACAACCACAGCATCAACTGAAACCATGGCTGTACAGCCACGCATCATTAAATACTTATAAAAACCCCATGAGATAGAAACCGTTATTATCTCTACCAAGTAATGGAGGAAACTGCTAATTCAAGAGTAACTTTTCCAAGGTCACACCACTAGTAAATAGCAGGATCTGTTCCTCTGGGCCACCCGTGTAAGGATGGTAGCAGTAGGGTTCAAAAGATCAGAGGAAACAGTAGAAGGTATGATTGACACAACCTGCTGACTTGAAATAGAGCAGAGGGTAACTCATCCAAAATGGATACACCTTAATATCATGGATTGAATACATTCATTTAACTTTTTCTCTTCTGAAACCCCACAAAAATTATAGTAAAAGATTTTTATTTTAAAAGCATGATCTAAAAGTTGGAGGCCTCTATTACAGTGATCTACCATGGGAAATAAACATCCTTAAAAATCTTGAAAAGATAGTCCAGTACAAAGGGCAGTCAGTGCCTCACTCTCAAGATGTGCAGATGTGTGAAAGACTCATGGAGAATAGTCTTCCAACACAGGAGACAATAGCCACAAAACTCAAGAATCTGAAAAACAAATGGATGAGTGGTAACTGACAATAGCCCTGAAACAATCTAACCATCACTTGTCAGTGGACAAGGCTAAAAAAAAAAAAAAAAAAAAAAAAAAACTCTATATTTATATGATGGAGTTCTCAATGGGCTCAGAAACTGGTAACATCAGCAGACTTTTCTATCTAGTTAGAATACATTTTGCCAACACTCTCACCTACTTAACTACTGCACAGACCAATCACTAGCTAGTGTCTATTGTTTAGCAATATCAGATCCTGCACTTGGCCAGCACAGCTCAGGCTGGTGTTGAGGTGGTTCCTAAGACCAGTCAAGCCCCAGGACAGAAGACAAATCTCATGCTTACCTCTAGTTGCTGGCACTAGAGTAGAGAATTACATAGAGAAAAAACCCAGGTCACTGAGACCCATGGGTACCAAACTTAAAGTTGAAACGCATTAATACATGGCCACCCTGTTACTGTGGCAAGAGAAGCTGTATCTACATGGGACAGTAATCAGCCCACACTTCAGCCTTTCCACCAGCTCAGCAGCCTCCATCAGACTTTCTAGCCATTTGAGAAATAGCCAGTTTCCCATCACAAACCAGCAGATACCAGCAGATACTCCAACATTGGAGCTTCCATTTCAACAGCAACAGCTGGGGGAATAACTTTTTCTCTTCTCTATTGGGACCCCAGTTCTTTAATAAAAATTGAAAGTAAAGATGAAAGAATAATGGACATTATAAGGCTGGTTAATCAGCAGTGTCTTTATTTCTTGCACTGCTACATAACGTACTGTCCATACCTACATGTGACTTTGCTAAATAAACAGCAAGTGATTTCAATGGAAGAAGGCAAGAAGATGGAGACCAATGGCACGATGATGACAGTCTGCTGGTGAAAGCTTCTTTCCAAAGATGATATTGATGAGGAATGCATGAGCATGTCCCAGTGCATCCAAGACTCTGTCACTCTCAGAAGCTCTGGGAAGCTGCTTGTCACCACTTTCTCAGCAACACAGTGAAAGTCAGAGAATAATGTTGATAAAAAGTAGTATCTTGCTGCAAGGCCCGTCTCTACACTGTCAAGTTACCACATTGAGTTGAAAATTTTGCCAACATATCCAGATCATCCCAAAGGCGAAAAGAGAAGCAACTGTTAATGACCTACACCAAATAAATCAACAAACACATAGCAATATGCGGATGTGTACCTTTGTAGTGGATCAAATGAGCCTGGACAAGAAACTCTAAATGGAAAGTTTTAGAGCATAAAGAGAACATTCTAGAAAAAGAATGTACTTGCCAAAAAAGTCAAAACTGAGATAAAGGAAAAATTGTAGACCTGGGGAATGTGAATTTGGAAAAATAATTTATGGGTACTGAGGATAGAGATAACAGGGGAGGTATAGCTATAAGCAGAGCAGAAAATTGATATCCAGTTTTCCAGAATTCACAGGTGACATAGAAGGGAACCATTGTACCAAGTGATACACAAAGATCAGAGTTGAAGAGATGTGATTTCGTCCACGAGTCCCTTTAAAGCTGGCTTTGTGGTGTGTTTGTTTACAACCTTCCTAAGGTGTCGATGTCTACCAGTTGGAACAGTGACACAAGAGATGGTAGGCATTTCTTGACTTTCCATCTCACAAATTAAATTTGTTTGGTGAATTCCTGAAGGATCCATACAGAGCCTGGACTGAAAGCACCTGTTTCGATCTTATGTGCTGAAAGCAAAACCTTTTCTCATCAAATGTTTCTCTTCTTTGTCTTTCTGGCTTTCATATGTGTGATCTAACTTCATTGGTTACATCTTTATTAATAATAAATATCTAATAAAAATGTTAATAAATTTAAATAAATACATTGAATAAAAATAACCTATATTCATCTAACCTGTTTTGGGTAAAGGAGGTTCCTATACCCAAGATAAGGACTTGAGGAAGTTATGGGTTTGGGAGAGAAGACACAAGATCAGTCTTGATTATGCTAAGCTTGAGGTTTTGAAGGGTTATTTGGGTAGCACTGTTTAGGAGAAACTTGGAAGTGAGGAGCCAAAGTCCTGGAGAACATTTTATGTAAGAGATATGTATGGATTTGGGAGTCATCAGAGTCTGAGTGACCCGGGACTCCAGGGTCATGACTGGGAACTATAATTTTCACATCTTCTTCTATAAGCCATGTATTAGTCTATCTGCTACCCAGCCTTGAGATAACATGCTCACCCACCCCACATCTTCTATGATTTTGAGTTTGAAATTTTCCCACCAATATGTAAGGGAAATTATCTTCCCTGCTCAGATCAGGACAAACTCATAGGTGAATTCACAGGTATTGCTGGGATGAAGAGGGAGAAGGAATGCCTGTTGGTTCACCTGTGGGTTCGAAATGTTGGGATTGGGAAGGTTGGCCCAGGGAGTAAATGCACTGAGTTAGGGGATAGATATGTTTGGGAGAAGGCCAAACACAAGAGATAACCATTAGAATATAATCTCTGTCTTAGAAAGTGAAAAATTAAGAGCTGTAAGGGGTGAGGTTTAGCAAATAAATATTTCTGAGCAAAAATAGAGAATTGGAGAGAGAAGGAAATACGGAAGAAAGAAGAACCCAACATCAGATCAAAGTCCAAGGCTCATTGGCTTTTTGCAGGGGAAGTCACATACAAACCATCTCATCTTCCAGAAGCTTAAGATTTCTGAGCAAGGTGCCCACAGAAAGGGTACTTCAGAGCCACCCTACCAATCCCTTTTCAGGACTACAGACCAACCTCCTCAGACCCTCTTTGAATAGTAAGTAGGTAACAAAGATGATCACTGGAGCCAAGATGGTGAGTCTTCGGAGTTTCCAACCTCAGCGTGCCAGCTCTATCCACGCCCCACCTGCCCTGCAGGTGATAGACATATCCTGGGCAGAATGCCTGCCAGCCCCAGGAAAGCAGCCAGATTGTGCAGCTTTGCCCAGCTGTCATAGACAGTCATTCCAGGATAATTCTCCATCACCTGAATGTCATGAAGAATTTTCCAGGGACTTTGGAGATTTATTTCTTCCAGACCACCCTCAGAAACACAAATTCCTAGCATGTAAGAGCCATAAGATGCATCTAGTCTCACTTATTCTTGCAGTCAGGAAGATTGAGTACCAGAGACATGATGTAATGTCCTCAAAAATCACAGTTAAGGACAGAACCAAGACTGGAATCTGGATTCCTCACTACCATTGCAAACTGTTCCCATGATCTCATGCACAAAATTATAGACTCTTGGATTGCAGCAGTTTCTTAAAGGTGTTTGATGCGTTCTCCCTGAACATGAGAATCACTTGTGTAACTTGTTAAAAATAGATTTCCAGGACATCCCCATGGGTCTGGACTCGGGATCCTCTATTTTCAGCAGCTTCTCATATTTATCTCCTACAGCCTGTATGAATTTGGGAATGTGTAAGACCCCTACAGAGTGCTCTCTAGCCTCTGTTTTAACAATCTGCAATGATGGATGTCATCTCTCCTTCCATCTTTGGACAACTTTGACCTTGAGAAACTTTTTTTTTTGTAATAAACCTACCAGCCTCCTCTTGCTTCACTGCATTAGTCCCAATTCTACCTCTGTATCACAAAGAATAGAGGAATGGATTTGATTAAAATTATGCCCACCTAGCTCTTCCTTATGAAATTTTCTTGCACAAATAATTTTCAGAAAATATCCAAGGTATATACATGCATTTTTATTTTACTTAACACATTTTTTTATGAATACATTTCTGTCTTTTCATTATCCACAAATTTATTTTTAATAGCTTTATGTTTACCTAAACATTTAAAAGTATTATTCTTACAGTTTCTTGGCAATACAGTTTGGAGTCTAGGCTCCAAACAGCCTATGTGACCTGGGTTGGTCACTGTGTGACCTTGAGCTAGTCACCAACCTCTTTGGGCCTCAGTTTTCTCACCTGTTAATTGATAGGTTTGGATTAAATGATATTTGTAGTCCATTCTGACTCTGATCTTCTGAGATTCTTCACAGGATATGTATAAAGGCCTGTCTGAAGTTAATTCTTTTCACTTTTTCTCACGATGTTCTAACTGAATCTACCTCTGAGTTAATTTAGGCCACCAGTTTTGTCTTAAGATGTGTGTCTCAGTCTGTCTTCTGCTGTTGTAACAGAATGCCACAGACTGGGCAAAGAAGAGAGAAATGTATTTCTCACAGTTTTAGGGTCTGGGAAGTCCAAAAGCATGGTGCCAGCATCTAATGAGGGATATCCCATGGCAGTAGGCAGAAAATGGAAGGTGCATGTGTGTGAACTGGGGATGGGGGGTGCAAACTCAGCCTTTTTATTGGGAACCCACTCCTTGGATAGCTAACCCACTCCTAGGATAACTGCATTAATTCATTCTGTAGTTAATGCTTCTCACTTTTTCTCAAGATGTTCTAACTGAATCTACCTCATGGAACCCTCATGATCTAGTCATTCATTAATGATCCCATCTCTTAATATTGTTACTGTGGTAATTAAATTTCAAGATGAGTTTTGGAGGGGACATCCAAACCATTGCACTGTGGTACTTCCAGATTAGAAAACCAAAGAACAAGAAACAGCCTCTGTTTTAATAACGTGCGATGATGGATGGCATCATCACTCATTCCATCTTTGGACAACTTTGACCTTTAGAAACTTTTTTTATAATGAACTTCCCTGCCTCCCTCTTGCTTCAATTCATTCATCCCAATTCTATCTCTTTCTCACAAATAGAGAAATAGATTTCCCAAATTAGTAATTCCCTGAGAATTGCCCAAAGTTAATCAGTATTCTTAGTCTTTGTTACTCTTCTTCTGCTTCTGTATCACTGGAAGGAAGAACTTTAAAAATGCCTCAAAATAGAGATAATTTGTTGGATGCATGTAGAGGGCTGAATAATGGCCCCCCAAAATATCAGCTTCTAGTTCTTTACATCTGTAAACATTTGTTGATAAAGGGTCTTTGAAGGTATGGTTACATTAAGTATCTTCATATGGGTAGGTTATTCTAGATCAGGGTGTCTAATCTTTTGACTTCCCTGGGCCACACTGGAAGAAGAATTCTCTTGGGCCACACATAAAATGCACTAACACTAACGATAGCTGATGAACTAGAAAAAAAAATCACACACACACACAAAAATCTCATAATGTTTTAAGAAAATTGACTAATTTGTGTTAGGCTACATTCAAAGCCATCCTGAGCCACATGTGGCCCATGGGCCATGGGTTGGACAAGCTTGTCCTAGATTATCTGGGTGTGCCCTAAATACAATGACATGTATCCTTACAAATGAGAGTCTGAGGAAAATTTAGTATAGAAAGAAGAGGAGAAGGCCATATGGCCTCAGAGGCAGAGATTAGAATGATGTGGCCAGAAGCCAAGGATGCCAGCAGCCACCAGAAGATTCCTTAGCACCTCCAGAGCAAGTATGGCCCTGCCATCACCTTGATTGTGGCCTGGTGAAACCAACTGTGGACTTCTGGCCTCCAGAACTGTGAGATAATAAATTTCTCTTGTTTTAAGCCACAAAGTTTGTGGTGATTTGTTGCAGCAGCCATAGAAAACTAATACAGTGCCAAAATTACACTAAGCACATTATAGTTTAAAGTAGATGACACAATGATTTTTTTTAGAAAAATTGTGATTCATTAACTGAAAAAAGAAACAAGCAAAAATTTAGTTTTCTTCCAAAGTTTTATTTGAAAAAATATAGATTATAATATTAATTTTGAAAGCAAATTATACTAACATGAACTTATGTAGTAGAATTATTTAATAAGCATTCAGCTTAAATTGCTTAATAAAGTTATAAATTGTATTTGTCCAGGTCTAATGTAGTTTAAAATATCTTTTGGATATCATAACTAATCATATTATTTCCACGTTCGTGATGGAATTAAATCAATTAGTTATAAAATAAAATTTATTCTTAATTAGTATGCCAAAATTTATACATACATAAAATAATCTCTTAAAATATTCACTTCGAAAAGTGGTATATTTATTTCAGTAATGCTTCCATTGCTTTGATTTTTTCAGATTTTTTTCTCCAGTAAGAGCTTTTAGAACTTGTTTAAATATCCTCAACAGAAGCAAAGCCATGAATTCATAACCATATATACATTTATATAATCAAAATTGATTTGGAGATTCTGCTTTGGAGAATGGTAGACTAGCCTACTCAGACCAACTGTCTGAATGAGAACAATTACAAAATCTGGTAAAAAAAAAAAAAATTCACTTGATGTCACTGGAGAGTTAACAAGAGAATAAAGAGTTACTGGGCCAAGATTCATGCTAACATAAACATCCATAGATATGATGGTGGCCTTGGGTGCTGTTTTTGCCCTGGGGACATTTGGTAATCCAAGAGAGCACCTGTCAGACGATGCCTTTATTAAGGCCCATGGACATTATCTCCTATGCCATAGGGGTTGTGGATTTGCTAGTTTAAAGAAAACACATGCAAAGATGAGAGCTTATTTACCTGACTCTGGTATTGACTATTAGGTTTTACCATGGTCAGCAGCTGTGGGCTGTGTCAGGTTTGGGTCAGGGAGATGAGGAACAAGGAGGCTACATCTTAACCGCACGGGGAGGGGACGTTTTAACAAGGCCAAAGGTGATGAGGTACATCAGGGTAAACATGTGTTAGGCCTAAAAATGGATGTCAAGGCAGCAACTATATTAAACAAATTTATGATGGGCAGTGATTACTGTTTACCTCTAAGGGGCAGGGAGTATATTGTGATTGGGACAGTACCTGCAAGAGACTACCAGAGTGTTGAAAAAAAAATTTTTTAACATCAATCATGGTAACATGATTAAAATAATGTAAACTGTTCCCACAGTATTTCTTCTTAGCACTTTTCTGTTTGTATAATATTTCACAATAAAAATAGCTTTCCTTTTCCTTTTTCCTTTTGTTTTACAAAAAGTAATTTGAAGTCAGTTCGGTGAATAAAGTCTGTAATTAAAGAGGGAAATGCCAATTGTGGTTTAAATAAGGTGTGACTCTGGGTAAATGAAGTCAGTTTTCTTGTTGTCCTTAAAAGCTGTTTCATAAGTTTATTTCCAAAGAGCATTTCCAAAAACATTTGTAGCACAGCCAATACTGATGGAAGGAAGGGTGTGGCTTTTTTAGGGCCAACTCTGAAAATGACAGTGCTTAATTAAATATTGATTATGCTGTGGTTGCCTTAACAAATGTAACTTCACTGTAACATGTTTTATTTAAATGTATGAATTTTTCTTCTTATGGGATTCACTTTAGTAACAACCTCTTAAAATCCTGTCAACTTATAACTGTGAAAGCAAAGGCATATCTCTGATGCTCCTGGCCTTTGTGTCATTAAAATCTTACTCTAAATGTCGCATTAATTCATCTTTTCAACATTTTTCCTTGTTTGATTTTTTTCTCCTGGAAGAAAAAATGCTAAGTGGAATGAAGGAAGGAAAAGACAGGCAGTTTATTAAAAGTCAAAATATACCATACAAACCCCTAATTGTACTCTAAAATTTCTTTTTAAACGTTTCTATTAAAAAATTCTGGGCCGGGCATGGTGGCTCATGCCTATAATCGCAGCACTTTTGGAGGCCAAGGCGGGCGGATCACCTGAGGTTGGGAGTTCGAGACCAGCCTGACTAACATGGAGAAACCCCGTCTCTACTAAAGATACAAAATTAGCCAGTCATGGTGGCGCATGCCTGTAATCCTAGCTGCTCAGGAGGCTGAAGCAGGAGAATTGCTTGAACCTGGGAGGCAGAGGTTGCAGTGAGCCGAGATCGCACCATTGCACTCCAGCCTGGGCAACAAGAGTGAAACTCCATCTCAAAAGAAATTAATTAAATAAAACATTCTGTTTCCAATAAGATAAAATTTGAGAAGAGAATGAAATCCAGATTTAGTGTAGCTGACCCGGGATCACTGACTCTTTTTTAGAGAAGGAACTGGGAAACTGCAGTGGACATCATGCTCTGGAGCAACAGTGACTATGGATTTCACTGTATCATCGGTCGCAGCATGGAATTCTATACACTAAAATCGCTGGATGAGATGCTGGTGGGAAGACCCTAACAAAATCGTGTTTCTGACAGAAAGTGTATACACATTATGAGCAAGGAGAACATTAGTTTTCAGCTTAGCTCCTTGTGCAGTTGAATTTGTTACTCTGTTCTGAAGACATTGGTGCCAGATAAAAGCTTTAAACACAAAACGTTGTTACTGACATGTTAATATAATTATGCCACGTATTATATATACAAAACTTTAAAAGCTAAATTTAGAAGTTATTGCTGTATCATTTATATAGGCTTTGTTCTCCTTAAACACGTTGACTTTAATAAGGCATGTTTTGTACAAATAAAGTCTAATTCTACCATCAGTTGCAGCCACAGGAAATTTGAAGTCATTTTTATATAAAATTTAAATTCCAACACTTAATTCAGGTTCTATGACACCATTTTCTAGATCCAAGAAGGAAATCATTGGCTCAGGATTTTCTACAGCGATCTATCCTGTATGTTCCTCAGATAATATGCCCCTAGAATATTATTTTTTATAAGAATTAATGGCAGAAACATTTGAGCTTATCACTGATGGCATTTGTTGACTATCAAAATTGTCTAAAACCTCCCACATTTATCCAGGTATAAAAGTAAACTTCTAGGTTGGGTGTAGGGTAGGTTGGGAGTCAAAAGAGGACACTCTATAGAGTCACAGTTCATAGGTTTTCCTAAAGAACACTTTCTAAATCTAAATTTTTCCTCCCACTAAGCCAAATGAGGAGGGCTCCAGGGAAATCACTGGTGATGATTAGGGGTCCTACAAGAAGCAGGGTGTTAACCTTCTCACTGATTGGATTCTTGCTGAGCTGTTGAACCCATAGCTCATCCTTGCTTCTGCTGCCAGAGAGGAAAATATGGAAAAGTTCATGGGCCATTTGCCAGAGTTTGTGGATGTATATGAACTGAGACTCTTGAGGCTAAGAGGCTGCATGGGGCAGCCCACACCAAAAGGCAAATAGGGCCCATATTGTAGTGTGATGCTTAAGGAGAAATATATGGAACACTGACCTCCCCACCCCCAGGATCCCTGTGACTCTTGGAGGGTCAAGGGAGCATCATCATGGAGACAGAAGACAGAGAAAGAGAGGAAAAGAGGAAGCCGAGCCCACCCTTTTCCTGTCTAGGTCCTCTAGACAAAGCTGTGAAGGGAAAAAAAATAGAAGATAAAATGGGATTTAAATTTTAAACTGGACTAAATTGCAAGTGACCAGAAAGCTAAAGGGTCTGCTCAAGATGTCATAAGGGAAAAGTAAAATTATTTCCCATTGGTACCTCATCGAGTTCATATTGTTCAAGAAACTGGATATAATACCTAGTGACAAAGAGACTAGGACTTCTGTTTTGTTCTTGTCATACAGCCAAATATTGTTCTGGTCACACAGCCATAACAATACCCATTGGGGCAGAACACTGAACTGGTAAGAAAGTAAGGGAAATTTTTAGAGGCCTTAAAATAGAAAGTGAGAATTCAGGAAAGTAGACTCGTTTTAGATTAGTCTTTTCTCAGAGGACATCTGTCCATCCTGGGTAGTCTAGGGCATGAATTTTAAAAGCCTATATGAGTATCAAGTAAAAAAATTGAGTAGGGTGGCAGTCAGTTCAGAGACTCCTGAAGAGCAATACGATTATTAGATGAGTAGGGGGAGAAGGCTTTAGAGAAGGAGATGATGGAAATAATCGTTTTGTCTTTGGCTATTAATAGGTGAAAGACAGGAGAAAAAGTCTCCCTAGAAAATTCCTAATTCCAAATTCTAAGTCTATTCTTGTTGGCGTGTCTCACTAAACCCCATGTGGCCCAAAAATTCAAGCAAAAATTTAAATTGTCTTTTTTTTTCCCCCACTCAGTAAAGATTTAATGATGAAAAAATGCAAGTTTTATAATACAAATATATAAAATTATGAAAACAATTTTTATAACAATCATTTGATAGTCTTTTTTTAAAAGACTACAGAAAGTTTAAAATATAATTTTGTAATTATAGATATAAACAATGAAGTTTTATAAAATTAATCATTTGATATTTTTAAAAAGGCTATCCAAAGGAATTTAAAATCAGAATGTTGTTGAAACTGAACACCAACTGTATCTACATTTATTTCTTTTTTTAAAATACTTTAAGTTCTAGGGTACATGTGCACAACATGCAGGTTTGTTACATATGTATACATGTGCCATGTTGGTGTGCTGCACCCATTAACTCGTCATTTATATTAGGTATTTCTCCTAATGCTATCCCTCCCCCCTCCCCCCACCCCACGACAGGCCGTGGTGTGGGATGTTCCCCTTCCTGTGTCCATGTGTTCTCATTGTTCAATTCCTACCTATGAGTGAGAACATGTGGTGTTTGGTTTTCTGTCCCT
The DNA here is from genome assembly GCF_000001405.40 of Homo sapiens. Lineage (NCBI taxonomy): Eukaryota > Metazoa > Chordata > Mammalia > Primates > Hominidae > Homo > Homo sapiens. The sequence goes on from NC_000014.9 coordinate 72,374,357, forward strand.
GCAATAGTTTGCTGAGAATGATGGTTTCCAGCTTCATCCATGTCCCTACAAAGGACGGCATTATTCACAATAGCAAAGAGTTGGAGCCAACCCTAATGTCCATCAATGATAGACTGGATTAAGAAAATGTGGCACATATACACCATGGAATACTATGCAGCCATAAAAAATTTAAACTTTCTCTATTTCAGTACTGCCCCCAGCTACCAGGAAGAAGCAAACACATCTCCTCTCTGGAGAAGCACACATTAAATACAGAACAAAAAAATTTCCAGATAAAAACAAAAGTCACTGGAAACATAAGAAAACAAAACAACATAAGGATAAGTCAGCAAAGAGCACAAATGGCAGAATCCAACACATAAAGATTGCAGACATTGTAATTATATTCAGATTATAGAATAATTATTAGATCATACGAAATTGCCATTTTTATAGGTCAAAGCTGGTAACTATCTGCAGTTCCATATGCTTAACATAATGTTTTTAAAGAAATAAGAGAGTACTGGAAGTATGTTGAAGAAAAGAGGATTAAGGATTCTCAAAAAGGACTAGAAGCTTTGATAAGTAGCCAAATGGAATCTCTGCAAATGAAAAATATAATTGAAATTAGAGACTTAATAGAAACATTAAACAGCAGATTTGACACAGCTAAACAAAGAGTTGATAAACTAGAAGATAAAGCAGATAAAAGTACTCAGAATGTATCACGGAAAGGCAGAAACAAATAATATGAAAGAGAGGTTAAAAGACTTGAAGAAGAGAGTGATAAATTCTAACATCTAACCAAATTTTGAGAAGTAAATAACAGAGAAAATGGGAAGAGCAATTCTTCCCCATTGTCTTTATTATTTCCTTCCAAATTTAAAGATCTAATAGTTGACAGTTTTTCTGAGTGGATTAAAAGCATCGGGTTCCAAAAGCCAAAAAAATTCCAAGCAGGATAAAATGAAAACAAATCTATATCTAGCTACATTGATGTCAAATTTCAGAACACTAAACACAAAAAGAATCTTCAAAATGACTAGAGAGGGCCAGCTGAGGAGACTTCACCTGTGTTCCAAGCCTGAGAAACAGCACCATGGGCCACCCCTGGCAGACACGTCCCTAGGCTGGCTGAGCAGCTGTGCACCCATGTCCTGGGCCTGAGAAAGAGCCCCACAGACTGCTCCTGGCAAGCATGCCCCCAGGCCAGCTGAGAAACCATGTGCCCCTAGACAGAGTAACAGCCCTGTGGTCCCAACCCCAGTGAGCCAGACCCCAAGAAAGCTGACCCACTGTGTGCAGACATATGCCTCCAATCTGAGCAACAGCTCAGCAAGCCCACCTCTGGAAAAGTTGCACCGCTACCAGCACAAACTGTCTAAGCCTAGGCCACTGAGACATTCATAAATATCGCTAGTATGGATTACAGCTTAAGAAACTACTGGAGACTATACTACTGTGTCTACCCAGAAGCAAAGCCAATGCACTGCATTGAGCCCACACCCCAACACCCACATAAATGAATAAATCTTTTCCTATTAAACCTACTCCATAAAATTGGAAGAGGTGACTGTTTCATCAGATGTGTAGAAATCAATGTAGGGACACAATAAACATGAAAAAGCAAGGAAACAGACCTCCAAAGGAACACAATAATTCCCTAGTAATAAACCCCAATCATAAGGAAATAAATGAAATGACAGAAAAAGAATTCAAAATAATAATTCTAAACAAATTCAGTGAAATATAAGAAAATATATTCAATGAAATCATGAAAACAATAAGTCATTATTTTAATGAGAAATTCAACAGAGATAGATATCATTTAAAATGAACCAAATTCTATGGCTGAAGAACTCAATGAGTGAAATAAAAAATACAATTGAGAACTTCAACACCAGACTAGACCAAGCAGAATTTGTTCTTACTTGAAGACAGGTATTTTGAAATAATACAGGCAAACAAATAGATGAAATTAAATAAATAATAAAAAGGAATTAAGTCAAAGGATTTATGGGATATCATTAAGTGAACAAATATTTGCATTGTGGACATTCTGGAAGAAGAGAAGGGAAAAGGTGCAGAAAACATATTTAATGAAATAATACGTGAAAACTTTCCAAGTCTTGGGAGAAAGATCCAGGAAGCTCAAAGAACCCCAAATAGATATAATCCCCACAGGTCCTCTCTGAGGCACATTTTAGTCAAATTGTCAAAAGTCAAAGACAAACAGCAAAAGAAAAGCTTCAAGTCACATATAAGGTAATCTCCATCAGATTGATAGCAGATTTCTCATCAGAAACCATGTAGGCCAGGAAAGAATAGAATGATAAAGTCAAAGTAGTGAAAGAAAAAAAATAAAACTTGCCATTCAATATTATGCCCAGCAAAGCCATTCTTTAGAAATGAAGGAGAAATAAAAATTTTCGCAGACAAGCAAAAATTAAGAAAATTCATCACCACTAGACCAACCTTACAAGAAACGCTTAAGAGAGTCTTACATCTAGAAGCGAAAAGACAATAACCACTGTCATGAAAGCATGCAGAACTATAAAACTTATTGATGGAGCCAATACACAAAGGAGAAAGAAAAAGAATCAGACCATATCACTACAGAAAAACACCCAACTGCAAAAATAAGAGAGGAAGTAAGGAACAAAGGATATACAAAACAAGTAAAAAGAAATCGATAGGATGATAAAAGTCCTCACCGATCAATAATAACCTTGAATGTAAATAGATTAAAATCTCCATTTAGATGTAGACTGACTGAACAGATTAAAAATACAAGATACAATATACAGCCCACAAGAAACTCATCTCACCTATAAAGACACAAATAGACTGAAAGTGAAGTGATGGAAAAAGATACTCCATGCAAACAGAAACCAAAAGCAAGCAGAGTAGCTGTACTTATATCAGACAAAACACACTTCAAGACAAAAGCTACAAAAAGAGACAAGGGCATTATATGATGACGAAGAGATTAATTCAGCAAGAGAATATAACAATTGTAAACATATACACTTAACACTAGGGCACCTAGATATATAAAGCAAATATTATTAGATCTAAAGGGAGAGATAGACTACAATACAATAATAGTTGGGGACTTTAACACCCCACTCTCAGCCTTCGACAGATCATCTACACAGAAAATCAACAAAGAAACATCAGATTTAAACTGCACTATAGACCAAATAATATAAACCTAACGACATTTACAGAATATTTCACCCAATAGCTGCAGAATATGCATTTTTTTTCATCAGCACGTGGAACATTCTCCAGGCTTGACCGTATATTAGGACACAAAACAAATCTCAAAAAGCTTTTCAAAATCAAAATTATGGCCAGGCATGGTGTAATCCCAGCACTATAATCCCAGCACTTTGGGAAGACAATGCAGGAGGATTGTTTGAGCCCAAGAGTTTGAGACCAGCCTGGACAACATAGTGAGGCTTTGTCTCTACAAAAGATTAAAAAATTAACCACCCGTGGTGCTGCACACCTGTGGTCCCAGCTACTCAGGCGGCTGAGGTGGGAGGCTCTCTTGAGCCCAAGAGGGTTGCAGTAAGGATGCAGTGAGCCATGATCATGCCTCTGCACTCCATCCTGGGCAATAGAGTGAGACTCTATCTCCAAAAAAATATTGAAATTTTATCAAGTATTTAATCTGACCGCAATGGAATAAAACTGGATATCAGTAACAAGAGGGACATTTGAAACTATACAAATACACAAAAAGTAACCTGCTCCTGAGTGACCAGTGAGTGAAGGAAAAAATTTAAAGTGAAATTTAAAAATTCCTTGAAACAAATGTAAATAGAAACACAACATACCAAAACGTACGGGACACAGCAAAAGCTATATTACAGGCAAGTTTATAGCAATAAATTCCTAGGTTGAAAAACTAAAAAGATTTCAAATCATCAACTTGAGATGCATCTCCAGAAACCAGAAAACTGAGAACAAACCAATCCAAAGTTAGTAGGAAAGAAATGATAAAGATCAGAGCAGAAATGAACAATATTGAAACTGAAGGAAAAAATACAAAAGATCAATGAAATAAAAAGTTGGTTTTGGAAAAGAAAAACAAAATTTTAAAAACCTTTAGCTACACAATGAAAAAAAGAGAAGACTCAAATAAATCAGAAATGAAAAAGGAAACATCACAATGAATACCACAGAAATACAAAGGATCGTTAGAGACTATAATGAACAACTCCATGCCAGTAAATTTAAAAACCTAGAGGAAATAAATTCCTGAACACATACAACCTATCAAGATTGAACCAAGAAGAAATAGAAAACCTGAATAGGTCAATAACAAGTAATAAGATTAAATCAGTAATAAAAAGTTTCCCAAAAAAGAAAAGCCCAGAATTGGATGGCTTCACTGCTGAAATCTACCAAACCCTTGAAGAAAATTAATGCTAATTTTTCTTAAACTATTCCAAAAATTTGAAGTAGAGGAAATTTTTCCTAACTCATTCTATGAGACCAGTGTAACTAACTAGATAAGGATGCAACCAAAAAATGAAAAAGGTTATACAGGTTAATATCCTTAATGAACATAGACACAAAAATCCTCAACAAAATACAAACCAAATCCAACAACACATCAAAAAGATAATACACCATGATCAAGTAGGATTTATCTCATGAATGCAAGGATGATTCAACATATGCAAATCAATAAATATAATACATCACATCCATAGAATGAAACACAAAAGTTATGTGATTGTCTCCAAAGATGGAGAAAAAGCATTCAATACAATTCAACATCCCATCATGATAAAAACTCTCAATTAAGATGGTATAGAAGGAAAGTACCTTAACATAATAAAGGCCACATATGATAAACCCACAGCTAACATGGTACTGAATGGGGAAATCTTTAAAGCTTTTTCACTAAGAACTGGAAAAAGACAAGGATGCCCACTCTTACCATTCTTATTCAACATAGTAATGGAAGCCCTAGCCAGAGCAATTGGCAAAAAAATAAATAAAGGGCATCCAAATTGGAAAGGAGGAAATCAAATTGTCTCTGTTTGCAGGCACATGAACTTATATGTAGAAAAACCTAAAGGCTATATCAAAAAACTCTTAGAACTGATAAGTGAATTCAGTAAAGTTGCAGGTTACAAAATCAACATACAAAGATCAGTAGTGTTTCTGTACTTGAACAATGAACTAATGAAAAAGAAATCAAAAAGGCAATCCTACTTACAATAGTTACATTTAAAAAAAACCTAGGAATAAACTTAACCACAGAAATGAAAGACCTTTGTAAGGAAAACTACAAAACACTGATGAAAGAAGTTGAAGAGGATACAAATGGAAAGACATCTCATGCTCATGGATAAGAAGAATTAACATTGTTAAAATGACCATACTACCCAAAACAAACTATGGATTCAATGCAATCTCTACCAAAATAATGATATTCTTCACAGAAATAGAAAGAATCATAAAAATGTACATGGAACCACAAAAGACCATGAATAGCCAAGGCAATCCTCAGCGAAAAGAACATAGTTAGAGGTATCACACTGCTAGACTTCAAAATATACTACAAAGCTGTAGTAACCAAAACAGCATGGTACTGTTATAAGAATAGACACAGAGACCAATAGAGCAGAAGAGAACCCAGAAATTAATCCACATATCTATAGCCAACTGATTTTTGACAAAGATGTGAAGAACACTCACTGAGGCAAAACAAAACAGTATCTTAAATAAATGGTCCCCAAAAAATCAGATATCCATATACAGAAGAATGAAACTAGACGCTCATCTCTCATCCTATACTAAAGCCAACTCAAAATGGATCAAAGACCTAAATGCAAAATCTGAAAATATAAAACTAGTACAAGAAAACATAGGAGAAATGCTTCAGGACATTGGCCTGGGAAAAGATTTTATGAATAAGACCCCACTGGCACAGACTACAAAAGCAAAAATAAACAAATGGGATTATATCAAACTAAAAAGCTTCTGTACAGTAAAGGAAACAAGAATGAGAAGACATCTTACAGAATGAGAGAAAATATATTCAAACTTTTCATCTGACAGGAGGTCAATATCCAGAATATGCAAGGAACTCAAATATCTTGACAGCAAAAAAAAAAAACCGAACAATCCAATTTTAAAATGGGCAAATAATCTAAACAGGCATTTCTCAAAAGAAGACATACAAGTGACCAAAAAATACATGAAACAAGTGTTCAACATCATGAATCATCAGGGAAATGCCAATCAAAACCACAATGAGGTATCATTTTACCCCAGTCAGGATGGCTATTATCATAAAGACAAAAATAACAAATGCTGGCAAGAATGCAGAGAAAAGGGAACTTATGCACTGTTGATGGGGATGTAAACTAGTAGAGCCACTATGGAGAACAGTATGGAGGTTCCTCAAAACACTAAAAATAGAACTACTATAGCATCCAGCAATTCCACTACTGGACATTTATGCAAAGGGAAGGAAATCAGTATATCAAAGGGACATCTACACCCCCATGCTTATTGCAGCACTATTATATAGCCAAGATATGGAATCAACCTAGGGTGTCCAACAATAGATGGATGAACAAAGAAAATGTGGTATGAATATATAGGTATATGTGACGGAATACTATTAGGCTAAGGAAAAGAATAAAATCCTGTCATTTGTGGCAACATGGATGGAACTGGAGGATATTATGCTAAGTGAAATAAGGCAGATACCACATGTTGTCACTCATATGTGGAAGCTAAAAAATATTGATCTCATAGAAGTAGAAAGTAGAGCAGAGGATACTAGAGGTTGAGAAGGGTAGAGAGGGGGAGAGAGTTGTTAAAGGATACAAAATTACAGATAGAAGTAAGTTCTAGTGCTCTATAGCACTGTAGAATAACTCTAATTAACAATAATATATAGTTTCAAATAGCTAGATGGAGAATATTGAATGTTTTCAACACAAAAAAAGATAAATGTTTGAGATGATAGACTATGCTAATTACTCCAATCTGATCACTATGCATTATATGTATCAAAACATCACTATGTACCCCATAAATATGTACAATTTTTACATCAATTTTTTAAATAAAATAAAACAACTAGAAATAAAAGACAGATTGCCTATCAAAAAACGACTGACAGCTAACTTCTATGTAAAAATGGACGCTACAAGGCAGTAGAAGACCATCTTTCATGTGCTCTGATAAAATAACAATTAGAATTCTACATGTAATGAAACTATCTTTCAACAAGAGCAAAATTATCATGCAAAAGAAGTGAAAGGAATGTATCACTACCCTATCTTTACCAAAGAAATGTCTACAAAATATATTTTAGGAAGAAGAAAAATTATCTCAGGATGAAAGTTTGAGATATCAAAAGGAATGATAAATACTGTGGTAAGTGGGGCTTAATCTAAACAATCATGGACTGTATAAAGAAAAAGCAATAATATCCACTATGAGGAGTTAATAAGAACCCAAGTGACTTCTAACTACTGGAAAATAAGAGCATGCAAATTGGGAAAGGATATAAACGTCCTCTATTGTTCGGAAAAATGGTAAAGCTACTTAGTAGTTTTAGACTGGTAAGAACACTCACTGGGGCAAAAAAACAGTGTCTTAAAATAAATGTTGCTGGGAAAACTGGATATCCAGATGCAGAAGAATGGCTTCTTAAAAAGCCATTCTTCTGCATAGCTTTTTAAGTTGAAATTAATTAAAGTCATGTAGAATATTAAAATTTAGTCACCTGCATTAATAAAATTTAAAACTTATGCTCATCAAAAGATCTATTAAAGTAAAAAGAAGCCACAATTGGAAGAAGATATTTGCAGCACACACCAACAAAGCATTAGAATCATGAATATATAAAAGACTTCTAAAAATTGAGAAAACAACAAACAATGCCATAGAAAAATGAGCAAAACCATGAACAAACATTTCATAGAAGAGAAAATATACATGACCAATAAGCATACAACAGTTGCTCAATGTCATTAATAATCATGAAAATGCAAATTAATTAAAACTACAGTGAGATATCATTTTAATTCACTAAACTGGAAAAAATTAGACTCTGACCATGCCAGGTATGCACAAGTGTGTGGAACAAAGGGAATGCTAATCGAATGCTGGTGGAAGTGTGCATTCGCAAACCACATTGGAAAACGTTGTGGTGATGCCTATGGAAGTTGAACTCTTACATATTTATGACTTGGCATCTCCACTCCAAGGAATATATTATAGACTAGAGAAACAATTGTGCAAGTGATTGAAGACACTCATCTTAGCAGCATTGTTCGTAGCAGCAAAATTCTGGAATAATCCAGGCATGACGTTTGGCTCTAGAATGGAAAGAGAAAGCACATTATAGTCATATGGTAGAATTATACAAATGAATTAGCTATAGGCTTTAACAAGGATACAATTCAAAAACAATATTCCTGAGAATAAGCACAGGATATCTCATGATCCCAATTATGTAAAGTTTAAAATCAGGCAAAAGTAAGCATTGTATTATTTAGTGATTCATGCATATTTGGTTAAATGGTAAAAATACATACTTGAAAAGGAGGACTAACTTTTGTGGGGAAAGTAGACAACAAGAAATGTTTAGGTGTGGAGGTACTCGGTATCAATCTCAAAGTATACTCATAATGTTTTCTTCTTTTTACTGGGTGGTGGGTACCTTTATTATTTTAGAATACATCTTTATACTTTTACATATATGCTTATGTTGCATTTTGCAATTAAAATTTTTTCAAGAGTTTACAGTTATATAAACATATATACTATATTTACAGCCATGAAAAAATTGTACATATATATATATATATATATATATATATATATATATACACACAAACACACTAGTATGTGTGTGGATGGGAGAGGGAGAAAGATTGATTTTAAAGGAATATAAAATAAAGGTGTATCACGAGGTGGGACTAAATGAACACATTTACTTGCAGAAGATGAATTTGACTTTACTGTGCTTTTTTGGATTGTGCCGACTCATAAATCTAACTGGGCTTTTAGTAGACAGGAGACGATTGAACATTATTCCATCTTATGTATTTTCAAACAGACTGTATTATTTTGGGTGTTGTGTGTCTCACCCACACTGTCAAGATTCTGTAAACCTGCAACGTGATCCATTCGGCTGCGCTCTAGTTATTATCCAATTATCATCCATTCTGCTTATTAACAGGCATAAACAGACAGTATTTCTGCATGGAGCTGATACCCTCCATTATGGGTCACCGGTCCCGTTCTTAAGTAGGATTGTGAAGGAAAAAAGCAGAGAACTTCATCTTCAGTACTAATTTCTCTCACTTAATTCCTTCTGTTTTACTCTTTCTCAAGAATGGGCATTTATCCTCTACTGGTGAAGAAAGGGCAGAGTTGTAGGAGCCATCTACGGTAAATGCAGGCTTTCAAAGGGTGGGGGGGGACGGTAGAGATTTTAAACGTAATAATAAAACTGAACAAAATTTGATCTGCTGTATGTTATCACTATGCAATTCTAAACAGTGTTAGCATGAAAATATTCCTCCCCTAGAAATTATTTTGTTGATCTAAGAGTACTGAATTGCTACAGTTACTTTTGCATTGTAATAATATATCTGTAAGCTTCAAATCAGCATATTATATTCTACATGGACGTTAACTCAGAGAACCAAGAGTTGCACAGGGACTGCCAGCACACTCAGTGACACACACACGTTTTGATCGTATAATAAGTGCCTAACAGGGTGGAACTGGGCACAGGGCATGTCTCAGACCTGTATGGTACTTTTAAAAAAATAAGTTAAAATAAACACTGGGGCATGGTGATGGAAAAGATGAAAAAACAGAACGTAAGTTATTTCAATGTTGTCACTCGGTGTGGCCACTTGGAGTTTATATTTGCATTTTACTGTTGCATTTGAAAATTGTTAAAGTGAAAGTGACAAGTGCAAGACACACTCTTTTTGTTTGGTAAATATACATTTCAGTCCACACATGAGAATAGTTATTGAATGTTAGAAGTATCTTTTAAAATGAAATGTATGTTTTTTCCTATCTTTTGGTTTTAAAAGTGAAAGAAAAAGAAATTTTAGAAAATTTAACCTTATGTTACTTACTAGTATAATTTAGTGGTTGCCTAAATTGTACTGTTTGCATACGTTTCAGTTTTATTAAAGATCACTTATTGGCTGTTGTCAGTAAAGAGAGGATGTTAAAAATGATGTGTTCTGAGTGTCAAATCCATAGGTGTACTCTGTGATCCTCTTTTCCGATCAGTTCCCCGAGTGTCAGTAGGAAATCTAAACAGCTAAGGACCAAGCACAGGAGGAGATATAACCAATGGACTTTTAACTGAGGGGACACGGTTTGCATATTTTTTTTATTTTTATTTTTTATTTTTTGAGACAGAGTCTCACTCTGTCACCCAGGCTGGAGTGCAGTGGTGCAATCTTGTCTCACTGCAATCTCCGCCTCCCGGATTCAAGTAATTCTCCTGCCTCAGCCTCCTGACTAGCTGGGATTACAGGCTTCCGCCACCACACCCAGCTAATTTTTGTATTTTTTAGTAGAGATGGGGTTTCACCATCTTGGCCAGGCTGGTCTCGAACTCCTGACCTCCTGATCCACCCATCTCAGCCTCCCAAAGTGCTGGGATTACAGGCGTGAGCCATGGTGCCTGGCCGGTTTGCATATTTGTAACGGTGTCTTTAGCACCTGCCCGTCATCTTTCCTAAACTTGGTCTGCTTGAGAACACACCTTGCTTGCCATGTCGTTTATAGGATAATTTTCCATGAATGGAATTATTTGAATCTCAAAGATTTTGTCAAAAAATATATTCAAAGCTTGGGTGTAATAGACATTACACCTGAAATTACATCCTTTGCGGTTATCTCAATGTACTTTAAAATGTTTAGACATTATGCTAAAAATATGTTAAAAGGGGGCGTCATTTTTTCAATTTCTCTTAGGGATCACACAAGGAAGAAAAGTTTTTCAAGACTGCTGATGTAAAATAGTGTTATCAGACAGTGTTCACATTTGGAGGGATTGTTGGTAGCCAAGTCTCCTTGGTGTTTCTTGTGAAAGAATTCTTGAGAAAGAAATATCAGGCAATTGGGGTATATTCCTTAAACATATAGTAGGGAATGGGGCTGGTGAATCAGTTCTGAATGCCTGTTTTCTTCTTTAAAATTCCAGCCAATGATATGAAGCCCAGGTATGTGGGGGCCTTTTGATGACAGTGAGGGTGAGACTAAGGAAGCTGACCTGCCCTGCCCAGGGACACAAGGCTGGCTAGCAACAGAGCCAGGACATTAGTCAGTGTGTCTGGCTCTGAAGCCCCCATGGGGGACACTGTCTCCCATCTCCTTTCTCCTGTGTTTAGCCTTGACTTTCACCTTCAATGTCATGCCAGACAAAGAGTTGCTATGGGGCAAGTGGGAAAGGCAAAACTTTTTCTGAACTGCTCTTTAATTTGTCAATATAGCCCAAATCTAGTTGCAATCTGGTACACTTTTAGTCATGAACGAGGGTGGAAGAAAGCTAATATCACATGTTGACCTTTCATTTTGCCACCAAGAAGCTCTCCTTGAATATTCTGAAGGAGAACACGTTCTTGCTGGGGGCTGGATAAACCTTAAAAATTTCATGCCCCTGAATGAGCATTTCCCCTCATCACGGACTTGTCCCTGGGGCTTTCTTAGGCATGGGCAGGATGTGGATTGAAGGAAGAAACCCAGTGTCATGGGCAGCAAAGGTTGAATGTCTTCTGTGTCTAGTCCTAACACTGACTTGGAGCCCATTCCTCATCATTTTATCTTACTTTCTCCCATCTGAAAATATTTACAAAATCATGTTTGATGTCAAAATACTAAATACTATTTGGGGGGCCGGGTGTGGTGGCTCACATCTGTAATCCTAGCAATTTGGGAGGCTGAGGCGGGCAGACTGCCAGAGCTCAGGAGTTCGAGACCAGCCTGGACAACACGGTGAAACCCTCTCTCTACTAAAATACAAAAAATTAGCCAGGCATGGTTTTGCATGCTTGTAGTCCCAGTTACTCAGGAGGCTGAGGCAGGAGAATCACTTGAACCCTGAAGGCGGATGTTGCAGTGAGCCAAGATTGTGCCACTGCACTCCAGCCTGAGCGACAGAGCGAGACTCCATCTCAAAATAATAATAATAGTATTTGGAGGATTTTCCCAGAGCATTTGGGAAGCATTTGTACACAAATGAGTCTGTGAGCAAAGGGCCAAGGCAAGGGGCAGGAGCTCAGATGCAGGCTGTGTTGATGGGGCTCAAATCCAGAGCCCCATGATCCCTATCCCGTGCTCCACTGCACCATCCTATTATCCTATTTTGCATTTTATTTTTACATTCCTATAAATAAAAAGTGCAATCAAATAACTTGAAATATGGTATTGCTTTTGTGCTTAAAAATAATCTCAGAAATACAGCAAACATGCCATTCACTTGAAATTCTAAAAAAGGGCAAAACTATGTTGACAGAAAACAGATCAATGATTTCCTGGGGTGCTGGGGGTAGCAGTGGGTAGGAAGAGAATTAGCTGTGAAAGGGCACTTGGAAACTTTTTCAGATGAGAGAACTGCTGTATCCTGATGGTGAGGGTGGTTTACACAGCTGTATACGGTTACCAACACTCATCAAACTGTGTGCTTAAAACACTGACTATGCAATACCTTTATGCTTATGTCTTTTTATAATTTAAATAGGGAGAAAAAATATGTATTTTGTAATATACATATTAATACACATTATAAGATATATATAAATATCAATAAATAATACCTTATTTGGAAATAGGGTTTTTGCAGATGTATATAATTAGGCCCACCCTAAATCCAATGGCTGGTTTCCTTATAAAAAAAAGGGAGAGGGGGCTGGGCGCGGTGGCTGGCGCGCCTAATCCCAGCACTTTGGGAGGCCAAGGTGGGCGGATCACCAGGTCAGGAGATGGAGACCATCCTGGCTAACACAGCAAAACCCCATCTCTACTAAAAATACAAAAAATTAGCCAGGTATGGTGGCGGGCGCCTGTAGTCCCAGCTACCTGGGAGGCTGAGGCAGGAGAATGGCGTGAACCCAGGAGGCAGAGCTTGCAGTGAGCCGAGATCGCACCACTGGACTCCAGCCTGGGTGACAGAGCGAGACTCCATCTCAAACAAAAAAAAAAAAGGAGAGGGATATTTGAGATACACAGACACAGAGTTATATATTGTACATTTTACAAAGAAAAAAATGTACATATATATGTATACCTATATACGTATGACATCCCTTTCTATTCTGTCTTCCACAAATGTGAGTATAAGTCTTCACAGTGGGAAGTAGGAATGATCAGAGATGGAGTATTAGTTTGCCAGCACTGCCGTAACAAGGTCCCACAGACCAGATGGTTTAAACAACAGGAATTTATTATCTCACAGTTCTGGAGGCTCAGAATCCAAGATCATGGTGGGGGCAGGGTTGGTTTCTTCGGAGACTTCTCTCCTTGGCTTGTAGATGGCCGCCTTCTCACTGAGTCTCCACATCCTCTTCCTTCTGTGTGTGTCTGCATCCAAACTTCCTCTTCTTGTGGGGACACCAGTCATACTGGATTCAGGCATACCCTGATGACCTCATTTTAACTTATTTTCTTCTTTGAGGACCCTATCTCTAAATCCAGTCACATTCTGAGGTACATGGGATTAGGACTCCACATATGAATTTTTGGGGGGACACAATTCCACCCATAACAGATGGAGAATAGTGCTTGAGGTCTTTACTAATTTACTCACCTTGGCTCTATTTGAGGTTTTCTGCCAGGAGCAGGTATTTTATAATTTAAAGTATACATATGGGAAAACACACACACATACACATATATATATACACATATACACATATATATACACATATGTGTGTGCATATTTCAAACAAGGCAGAGATCATCTGTGACCCAAATATGTGCTGATGAGATCAATGGACTGTGCTACTTATTGGTCCCATAACATATCACTTGTAACCTCTATCTATGACCTTCCACGTCAGTGCAATAACTAATACAGCCATCATACACAGCTGTGCAAGAGTTAACATTTTATTCTTCTGTGACTGAACTTCTGTTTCGAGTCCCCCTTTTCTCAGAGTTGCATCTCAGTTGGTGGGGCTGGGGGTGTCTGTGGTCTCAGGCAGGGAAGGCAGGCAGCTCTTCTGGACCTGGCCAGAGTACATGGTCATTTCTCCAGGATGGTCTCCCTTAGACAGCCTCATTCCCTACCTGGCCACTCACATGTGTTATTGCTGCACCCTCTGTCCTGACCCTCAGGCTTCTTAAGTTTGACTCTGAAGCCGCACTCTCTGGGTTTGAATCCCAGCTCTACTCACTATGGGCTCTGTACCTTGGCCACTTCACTTTACTTTACTTCTTTGTGCTTTGATTACCTCATCTATAAATTAGAGCTATTCATAATAGTATCTACTTCATGTGGCTGTTGGGAGGATTAAATGAGTTAGTATGTGAAAACATTTGAAAGCGTGTCTGCCCCATAGTAAAAGCTGTATACTGTAAGTGATTCCCATTATTAGTAGTAGTAGTAGTATTGTTACTGTGATGTCACATGCCTCATTGGTGTTTTATTTTGGGGAGCACATAAAGTACTCCATTTGCCTCTCTTAGCTGCAAGAGAGAAATTCTCCTGGGTTGTCTCGGGTCCATGTGCTGGACCCATATTTCTGCTCCTGCATCATGCTGGGAATACAGATTGTGGAGCTGGGGTGCAGGGAGGTGTATGACTTTGCCAGCTTCCTGTATTTCCCTTGAGAAGTGGAGCGGTGCTAATTGTCCCTGTCCCGGATGTTCCATCAACTGTGTGGTCCCATACCAACCCCTCAGGGGTGTCTGCCCAACCCCCACCCCAGCTTTCTTTCCTTCTTTACTTAGCATCTACTCCTCAGGAGACTGCTTTGCCCAGTATGCCCTAAGATAATAAATGACCTTCTGAGAGTCAAATGCCAGGACTCACTCTTGGTCTGTTTGTCCTCACCCGGCTGCTCCCTTGGGGGTAGGCCAGGACACACACTGGGTGAGAAGCGTGGTGGAGGAAAATTATCTGAGTTAATTTATCAAAATACATTATTCCCCAGTGACACTAGGGAAACCTTACAGAGGCCCCGCCAGCATCAAAGAGCAAGGTTCTGTTTCCCATGTTCCGTTACCCGATCCCCAGGGCCTGAAACAGAGTCCAGGGAATATTTGGAAACTAATCGTCATGAGTGGTAGCATCCTAAGCAGTACCATTGTTTACCTCCTAAGATCCCCCAATAATTGTGGTTGGCTATTTGTTTTCTAGTCATTTAGACACACACACAAAAATTGTTTTTCAAATGAGAAGGGGAATCCACAACAAAAAACTGTGGCTAGCTTATTTTCGAGTTTGAATGCTTTGTGTAAATTAATAAAGTTGAAGTCTATCCCATGTGTATAAAAATCTTGGAGTTATGTTCATTAATGAGTCTATTGAATTAGTTTTCATAAATTCTTCTGATTCAATTGCATATTCTTAAATTAACAACAAAAGTCCAACTTGTATCATTAAAGACTCAAAACAGATGGTGGGAACAGTAAAGTGTAGGAAAGTGGGAAAAATCCTTAAAAAATAAACGGTTCTTTAAAATAAATGAATACCAAATAAAACAGAAAAGTATAAAGAGCTATAGTTCTTTTTTTTTTTTTTTTTTTTTAACTGAGACAGAGTCTCGCTCTGTCACCCAGGATGGAGTGCAGTGGTGCGATCTCAGCTCACTGCAACCTCCGCTTCCCGGGTTGAAGCGATTTTCCTGTCTCAGCCTCCTGAGTAGCTGGGATTACAGATGCATGCCACCACGCCCAGTTAATTTTTGTATTTTTAGTAGAGACGGGGTTTTGCCATGTTGGCCAGGCTGGTCTTGAACTCCTGACCTCAGGTGATCTGCCCACCTCGGCCTCCCAAAGTGCTGGGATTACAGGCATGAGCCACTGCACCCGGCCGGGAGCCATAGTTCTTGGTGGAAAGCAAAGCTTTTCACATCAGCTAGTGTAGTGTCTGAAAAAGTCCTCATTATAGATGGGACAAAAAGATTTAGTGGGAAGAAGAAAGAGAACATTGAGACAGTTATGAAAAGTTTTAATTGTAAATTTTAATTCTCATGTGAAATGAAAATTTTGGGATACTTTCACACACACACACACAAATGTTATCCTCAGATTAAAATATTTATGTGGGAAATGTTTAGAGGTAAAATGTTTAGAGGGGAAAAAACCACTTACCATGATTGCTGCCAGAAAGGGTAAACCTTAGAATCATAATACTGCAGAATTTAATGATCCTTTGTGAGCTTCTGGTTCAACACTCGTTTTACAAGCAAAGAAATGGAGGCTCAGAGAGATTGGTTAGGTGAGCCCTGCAAGGACTCATGGCTAAATAGTGGTGAAATCAGAAGCTAAAGCCAGGTTTTCTGGCTTTTATTCCAGGACTGAGATGTAGTGACCTGACTCTCGTAAGTTTCTGGCTTCTTCCTTTTGGAGCCACAGGTAAGCACCAGTCTAGAACCTTCCACTCAGACTTCATGCTCCAGGGTTGTGACCAGAGCTTACAAGGGTGTTGTCCTGGGCTGGAAGCAGAGACTGTGAAACTCAAATATACTTAGGCAAATGCAAGCATATGAATAAATCACCGAAATCAGGACAAACAGCTTTTCTTAGATAAATTGCCCTTGGAAAGAAAGGTGAAAACTAAGCCATAATGCATGAATGTGTTAATTGTTTTTCTCTTCTACAGACACTAATTTATTCTGAAGGGAATGCTTCATTTCCAAATTCTCCTTCTACTTTAAAGAAATTCAAACTTCAAGAAAAAAATTCAACACCATATTGTGATTGCTTCAATAGTTAAGAATTTCGGCTGTCACGACTGAAAAAAATCATTAGCAAAAACTGGCCGTGGAAAAGGGAAGTCTGTCTAGTTCATGACAAGCATCCATCATCGTATGTGAGTTAGTAATTTCTCACCTCTCATTTGAGAGAGGCAAGGTACCTGTGTGCCATTGGGGTGGGCTTTCCCCGCAGTGACAGATCCGGATAGATCACCAGCCTGGCTAAGCTCCAAGCCTTAAATTCCTTTACTTCTCACCCCTGGGCCATTTCCGCCACTTTTCCTCCATCTCCTTTATCCATTTAACATCTGTTACATATATGTATATACACACACACTTTAAGTTCTAGGGTACACATGCACAACGTGCAGGTTTGTTACATAGGTTTATATGTGCCATGTTGGTTTGCTGCACCCATCAACTCGTCATTTACATTAGTTATTTCTCTTAATACTATCTCTCCCCTAGGCCTCCACCCCCTGACAGGCCCTGGTGTGTGATGTTCCCCTCTCTGTGTCCTTCTGTTCTCATTGTTCAACTCCCACTTATGAGTGAGAACATGCGGTGTTTCGTTTTCTGTCCTTGTGATAGTTTGCTGAGAATGTTAGTTTCCAGCTTCATCCATGTCCCTGCAAAGGGAATGAACTCATCCTTTTTTATGGCTGCATAGTATTCCATGGTGTATATGTGCCACATTTTCTTTATCCAGTCTATTATTGACGTTTAACATCTTTTATTTATTTTTATGTTTTACTTTTTGAGACAGGGTCTCTGTCACCCAGACTGGAGTACAGTGGTGCAATCTCGGCTCACTGTAGCCTCTGTCTCCTAGGTTCAAGTGATTCTTGTGCCTCAGCCTCTCCAGAGGAGACTTTGACAAATATATATATACACATACATACACAAATATATATATATATATTTGTCACAAGGATTTGACCTTATGCAATTATGTTTGCTGGTTAAGCAGCCTCTGTGAGGCTGTTGTCTTTACATCTGACCATGAGATGTTGGAGCTTGAAGTCCAAGAGGCAGGTGGTCAGCAGAGGAAGATGGATATGAAGTCGGGAGAGCAGGGATGGGCTGGGACCCACAGGCACACACAGAACCCATGAAGACCCACCGGAACTCAGGTCAGTTATCGCTGCCTCTCTGGGTGCTATAGTTGTCCTACAGGATATGCCGGCTCCCATCATCACAGACATACACACGCACCTGGCCCAAGAGTCACAGAAGCTGAAGGAAAATTCAGGGAAGGTAGAGCAGTTGTGACTTGGCTACTGCCCCACCCAGCAACATGAGCCACAGATAAAACAGGTGTGAGCTACAGAATGGCTGCCGCTTCCCTGCCTCCTCTGAATCTCACATGTAAGCATCTCTTGTGGCCCACTCTAACAAGAAACATTCAGGAAAGGAGATCTGGGGGAGGGGGAGCCTCTCCAAGCTGACACTTTGCAAGCCACCCAGTCTACAATGTGGAGAATGGTTGCAAAGCCTTCCACACTTCTTCCTGCCAATCCTCACCCTGGTCTCCAGGGTCAAGTGTGCACTTTCTGGGGATGCAGCCTCTCCACCCCACACACAAGTTGTACCGGGAAAAACTGAGATTTCCAGCAGGCAGAGATTGAGAAGCAGCAGCTAATAACATTACAAGGCCATTTGGCAGCAGCGCAAACCTTCACCATTACAATTAGAGCAAGTGGAGGTAAAAGAGACTCTCTTAATGGCCAAATCAAATAAAAAGTGACAGGCTTCTGAAGATTATGTTGAACCCTGTATGGCATGTTAATGAAACAAAGGGTCAGATACCATTTCATCTGTGGCTTATCTGCTTAGATAGAAGGGATGTTTTTCTGCCTAGTCCTACCTGAGGATTTCCAAGCCACCCCTATGCATGAAGATCTGACACATTTTTGTCCGCACTTTTCTCAGAGTGTTGGGGAACCAGGACTGAGCCAGCAGCGAAATATTCTGTGATGTAAGGTGGAATTTAGAATAAAGGTATTTTGGTGATCAAGCAGCTCAATGGTCCTTAACCTTGACTGTAACCTTGACTGAATCACATGCAAAGCTTTATAGCCTTTCTGATGTCCAAGCTGCCCAGAGATTTTTAGGGTGCACCCAAGGCATCACCAGTTAGTAACGCATCCCAGGTGATTCCAAGGTACAACCAGAGTCTAGAACCAGGGATCTAGTCTAATCCTTTTTTCAGATAATGAAGCTAAGTCATAGAGAAGTTAGGTGTGTTGGCCAGTAGTAAATACAAACAGTAGAACCCAAGTCTCCCAACTCTTAAACTTATCACCTTCCACTATATGCCCTGCCATATCTGCTATTGAGAAGAGTGAGAAACACACATTAAAACTGCATACTCTACTGTGTTCCAAGAATGGGATGACTTTGAAATGCATGCTATTTGTAGAATATAGGTAGTGAGACTGATGCCTGGTCATTCGCCTACAGCCTTAACACCTCCTGGAAGTCTGATTCTTTCAGTTTACCTTGCCCATAGTGTGAGACAGAGAAGGAAAATAGACGAGTCTCAGAATGCATTGTTCAGTGGAATGCATTTTGGAATGATCCTACAAATTACAGGAAAGCTTTAATCGCCAATAATTAGGTGTCTTAAAAATGGAGTTGTCTTCTGGCGTATGCTGACATTATCAGTCCAAGATAGACTTGAGCCAGGAGCCTCTGTGACAGTATGCTTTAGAAAGAGTGAGAGAGGGAGCATGTGTAAGCTAAGAAAACCTTTGTAAATAAGCAAAGTCTTATTCAACCTACAGTCTGTCCTCAGAGCTATCATTTATCAGGGGAACCCACCCCTGATAATTCAACATGAGTCCTTTTCTATTTTCCGTAAGCGTCGGCCGGTCTGAGAAACAAAGGGAAAGAGTACAAAGAGATAAATTTTTAAAGCTGGGTGTCCGGGGGAGACATCACATGTCGGCAGGTTCTGTGATGCCCCCTAAGCCACAAAACCAGCAGGTTTTTACTAGTGATTTTCAAAAGGGGAGGGAGTGTACAAATATGGTGTGGGTCACAGAGATCACATGCTTCACAAGGTAATAAAATATGACAAGGCAAATGGAGGTGGGGCGAGATCACAGGCCCGGGGCGAAATTAAAATTGCTAATGAAGTTTCAGGCACGCTTTGTCATTGATAACATCTTATCAACCGTAAAAGACAGACATTCCTAGAGCGGCCATTTTAGAGACCTCCCACTAAGAATGCACTCTCTTTCTCAGGGATGTTCCTTGCTGAGAAAAAGACTTCAGCAATATTTCTCCTATTTGCTCTTGAAAGAAGAGAAAGATGGCTCTGTTCCGCCTGGCTCTCAGGCTACCAGACCTAATGGTTATCTCCCTTGTTCCTTGAACATTGCTGTTATCCTGTTCTTTTTTCAAGGTGCCCAGATTTCCTATTGTTTAAACAATTTGTGCAGTTAACGCAATCATTACAGGGTCCTGAGGTGACATACATCCTCAGCTTACGAAGATGACAGGATTAAGAGATTAAAGTAAAGACAGGCGTAAGAAATCACAAGAATATTGATTGGGGAAGTGATAAGTGTCCATGAAATCTTCACAGTTTATGTTCAGAGATTGCAGTAAAGACAGGCATAAGAAATTATAAAAGTATTAATTTGGGGAACTAATTAGCGTCCATGAAATCTTCACAATTTATGTTCTGCCATGGCTTCAACCGGTCCCTCCGTTTGGGGTCCCTGACTTCCTGCAACAATAATTATTTATTTTAAAAGAAACAAAATCAAATTATTAGACATTTCAATCTGTGGTAGTAACATGATATTCTGGCATCTACTTTCATTATCACCTTTATTAAAATAAATTTAAAGAAAAATGGCAGTATGTTTCTGTGAAGACCACGAGTACTCATTTTAAAGGACTCAAGAGTTGCAGAAAAGTAAAAAGAAAAGAGTAAAATCATTTTCTAAATCTCACCTTCCAGAAATAACGATGTTGAGCATTAAGTGGACTTCATTTCATACTCTTTCAAAGATTATGTAGGCATATATATGTGTGTGTATATACATATATATGGATACATCCTTAGAGAAGTTGGCTGGCTAGATAGACACACTATAAAAATGGAATCATACTCTAATGCCATTTTTAATTTAAAAAATACATATTCAGATCCACTGTACTTATATACAGAAGTAAATGAAACTAAAGTAACACGAGAGGAATTCTGACCCTCATATAATTTTTTTTACTATCCAACATAATTATTTTTTTTATTATACTTTAAGTTTTAGGGTACATGTGCACAACATGCAGGTTTGTTACATATGTATACATGTGCCATGTTGGTGTGCTGCACCCATTAACTCGTCATTTAACATTAGGTATATCTCCTAATGCTATCCCTCCCCTTCCCCCCACCCCACAACAGGCCCCGGTGTGTGATGTTCCCCGTCCTGTGTCCATGTGTTCTCATTGTTCAATTCCCACCTATGAGTGAGAACATGTGGTGTTTGGTTTTTTTCCCTTGCGATAGTTTGCTGAGAATGATGGTTTCCAGCTTCATCCATGTCCCTACAAAGGACATGAACTCATCCTTTTTTATGGCTGCATAGTATTCCATGGTGTATATGTGCCACATTTTCTTAATCCAGTCTATCATTGTTGGACATTTGGCTTGGTTCCAAGTCTTTGCTATTGTGAATAGTGCCGCAATAAACATACGTGAGCATGTGTCTTTATGGCAGCATGATTTATAATCCTTTGGGTATATACCCAGTAATGGGATGGCTGGGTCAAATGATATTTCCAGTTCTAGATCCCTGAGGAATCGCCACACCAACTTCCACAATGGTTGAACTAGTTTACAGTCCCACCAACAGTGTAAAAGCATTCCTATTTCTCCACATCCTCTCCAGCACCTGTTGTTTCCTGACTTTTTAATGATTTTCATTCTAACTGGTGTGAGATGGATGGTATCTCATTGTGGTTTTGATTTGCATTTCTCTGATGGCCAGTGATGATGAGCATTTTTCCCATGTGTTTTTTGGCTGCATAAATGTCTTCTTTTGAGAAGTGTCTGTTCATATCCTTCACCCACTTTTTGATGGGGTTGTTTGTTTTTTTCCTGTAAATTTGTTGGAGTTCATTGTAGATTCTGGATATTAGCCCTAGCCCTTTGTCAGATGAGTAGGTTGCAAAAATTTTCTTCCATTCTGTAGGTTGCCTGTTCACTCTGATGGTGGTTTCTTTTGCTGTGCAGAAGCTCTTTAGTCTGATTAGATCCCATTTGTCAATTTTGGCTTTTGTTGCCATTGCTTTTGGTGTTTTAGACATGAAGTCCTTGCCCACGCCTATGTCCTGAATGGTATTGCCTAGGTTTTCTTGTAGGGTTTTTATGGTTTTAGGTCTAACATGTAAGTCTTTAATCCATCTTGAATTAATTTTTGTATAAGGTGTAAGGAAGGGATCCAGTTTCAGCTTTCTACATATGTCTAGCCAGTTTTCCCAACACCATTTATTAAATAGGGAATCCTTTCCCCATTTCTTCTTTTTGTCAGGTTTGTCAAAGATCAGATAGTTGTAGATGTGCGGCATTATTTCTAAGAGCTCTGTCCTTTTCCATTGGTCTATATCTCTGTTTTGGTACCAGTACCATGCTGTTTTGGTTACTGTGGCCTTGTAGTATAGTTAGAAGTCAGGTAGCATGATGCCTCCAGCTTTGTTCTTTTGGCTTAGGATTGACTTGGCAATGCGGGCTCTTTTTTTGGTTCCATATGAACCTTAAAGTAGTTTTTTCCAATTCTGTGAAGAAAGTCATTGGTAGCTTGATGGGGATGGCATTGAATCTATAAATTACCTTGGGCATAAATTACCTTGGCCATTTTCACGATATCGATTCTTCCTAGCCTTGAGCATGGAATGTTCTTCCATTTGTATCCTCTTTTATTTCATTTAGTAGTGGTTTGTAGTTCTCCTTGGAGAGGTCCTTCACATCCCTTGTAAGTTGGATTCCTAGGTATTTTATTCTCTTTGAAGCAATTGTGAATGGGAGTTCACTCATGATTTGGCTCTCTGTTTGTCTGTTATTGGTGTATAAGAATGCTTGTGATTTTTGCACATTGATTTTGTATCCTGAGACTTTGCTGAAGTTGCTTATCAGCTTAAGGAGATTTTGGGCTGAGACGATGGGGTTTTCTAGATATACAATCATGTCATCTGCAAACAGGGACAATTTGACTTCCTCTTTTCCTAATTGAATACCCTTTATTTCCTTCTCCTGCCTGATTGCCCTGGCCAGAACTTCCAACACTATGTTGAATAGGAGTGGTGAGAGAGGGCATCCCTGTCTTGTGCCCGTTTCCAAAGGGAATGCTTCCAGTTTTTGTCCATTCAGTATGATATTGGCTGTGGGTTTGTCATACATAGCTCTTATTATTTTGAGATACATCCCATCAATACCTAATTTATTGAGAGTTTTTTAGCATGAAGCGTTGTTGAATTTTGTCAAAGGCCTTTTCTACATCTTTTGAGATAATCATGTGGTTTTTGTCTTTGGTTCTGTTTATATGCTGGATTACGTTTATTGATTTTCGTATGTTGAACCAGCCTTGCATCCCAGGGATGAAGCCCACTTGATTATGGTGGATAAGCTTTTTGATGTGCTGCTGGATTCGGTTTGCCAGTATTTTACCGAGAATTTTTGCATCGGTGTTCATCAAGGATATTGGTCTAATATTCTCTTTTTATGTGGTGTCTCTGCCAGGCTTTGGTATCAGGATGACGCTGGCCTCATAAAATGAGTTAGGGAGGATTCCCTCTTTTTCTATTGATTGGAATAGTTTCAGAAGGAATGGTACCAGCTCCTCCTTGTACCTCTGGTAGAATTCGGCTGTGAATCCATCTGGTCCTGGACTTTTTTTGGTTGGTAAGCTATTAATTATTGCCTCAATTTGAGAGCCTGTTATTGGTCTATTCAGAGATTCAACTTCTTCCTGGTTTAGTCTTGGGAGAGTGTATGTGTTGAGGAATTTATCCATTTCTTCTTGATTTTCTAGTTTATTTGCATAGAGGTGTTTATAGTATTCTCTGATGGTAGTTTGTATTTCTGTGGGATCAGTGGTGATATCCCCTTTATCATTTTTTATTACATCTATTTGATTCTTCTCTCTTTTCTTCTTTATTAGTCTTGCTAGTGGTCTATCAATTTTGTTGATCTTTTCAAAAAACCAGCTCCTGGATTCATTGATTTTTTGAAGAGTTTTTTGTGTCTCTATTTCCTTCAGTTCTGTTCTGATCTTAGTCATTTCTTGCCTTCTGCTAGCTTTTGAATGTGTTTGCTCTTGCTTCTCTAGTTCTTTTAATTGTGATGTTAGGGTGTCAATTTTAGACCTTTCATGCTTTCTCTTGTGGGCATTTAGTGCTATAAATTTCCCTCTACACACTGCTTTGAATGTGTCCCAGAGATTCTGGTATGTTGTGTTTTTGTTCTTGTTGGTTTCAAAAAACATCTTTATTTCTCCCTTCATTTCGTTATGTACCCAGTAGCCATTCAGCAGCAGGTTGTTCAGTTTCCATGTAGTTGAGCGGTTTTGAGTGAATTTCTTAATCCTGAGTTCTAGTTTGATTGCACTGTGGTGTGAGAGACAGTTTGTTATAATTTCTATTCTTTTACATTTGCTGAGGAGTGCTTTACTTCCAACTATGTGGTCAATTTTGGAATAGGTGTGGTGTGGTGCTGAAAAGAATGTATATTCTGTTGATTTGGGGTGGAGAGTTCTGTAGATGTCTATTAGGTCCGCTTGGTGCAGACCTGAGTTCAATTCCTGGATATCCTTGTTAACTTTCTGTCTCGTTGATCTGTCTAATGTTGACAGTGGGGTGTTAAAGTCTCCCAAGTCTCTTTGTAGGTCACTAAGGGCTTGCTTTATGAATCTGGGTGCTCCTGTATTGGGTGCATATATATTTAGGATAGTTAGTTCTTCTTGTTGTATTGATCCCCTTTACCATTATGTAATGGCCTTCTTTGTCTCTTTTGATCTTTGTTGATTTAAAGTCTGTTTTATCTGAGACTAGGATTGCAACCCCTGCCTTTTTTTGTTTTCCATTTGCTTGGTAGATCTTCCTCCATCCCTTTATTTTGAGCCTATGTGTGTCTCTGCACGTGAGATGGGTTTCCTGAATACAGCACACTGCTGGGTCTTGACTCTATCCAATTTGCCAGTCTGTGTCTTTTAATTAGAGCATTTGGCCCATTTACATTTAAGGTTAGTATTGTTATGTGTGAATTTGATCCTGTCCTTATGATGTTAGCTGGTTATTTTGCTCGTTAGTTGATGCAGTTTCTTCCTAGCATCAATGGTCTTTACAATTTGGCATGTTTTTGCAGTGGCTGGTACCAGTTGTTCCTTTCCATGTTTAGTGCTTCCTTCAGGAGCTCTTTTAGGGCAGGCCTGGTGGTGACAAAATCTCTCAGCATTTGCTTGTCTGTAAAGTATTTTATTTCTCCTTCACTTATGAAGCTTAGTTTGAAATGAATGAAATGAAGCATGAAGAGAAGTTTAGAGAAAAAAGAATAAAAAGAAACAAACAAAGCCTCCAAGAAATATGGGACTATGTGTAAAGCCCAAATCTACATCTAATTGATGTACCTGAAAGTGACTGGGAGAATGGAACCAAGTTGGAAAACACTCTGCAGGATATTATCCAAGAGAACTTCCCCAATCTAGCAAGGCAGGCCAACATTCAAATTCAGGCAATACAGAGAATGCCACAAAGATACTCCTCAAGAAGAGCAACTCCAAGACACATCATTGTCTGATTCACCGAAGTTGAAATGAAGGAAAAAATGTTAAGGCAGCCAGAGAGAAAGGTCGGGTTACCCACAAAGGGAAGCCCATCAGACTAACAGCTGATCTCTTGGCAGAAACTCTCTAAGCCAGAAGAGAGTGGGGGCCAATATTCAACATTCTTAAAGAAAAGAATTTTCAACATACTGATTTTTTACAGATGCCTTATCAAAAGAGATTATGAAAGCTATTGGAATTGTAATACTTTTATTAATTAATGGTTCACTTTTATATAGTATCAGTGAACTTCGAGCAATGAAAGAAGATGATTTTAATGCTTCCTTCATTTCTCTATCACCCACCTCCTGATTTTTATAGATCATTATCATTCATTCATTCAACCAGTGTTTATTTAGAGAATACTTTGTGTAAGGCACCTTCAAGGTGCTGAGCCTAGAGCTATAAGCTATCGATGGAACAGACAAGATTCTCACACATAATGGGGCTTGCATTTTAATAGAAAGAAAAAATAAATCACTATTTTGACATTGCGCTGATTCTGTTCAGTAACCATAAGCCTCATAATTGTTCAGTATTGTTTCTATATTTGAATTCTTTCTATGCATATACATAAGTAGAAGTCTGGCAGACTAGAGAGATAGCCAGACTCACTTTTATAAAAATGGGATGATACTATAAATTCACTTCCGTCGCTGACAGCCCATCCTCCACCTACCTTCTTATCTCTGATCCTCCCTAGCAGCCCTATCCAGGTTTCCCTGGTTAGAAGGAGAAGCTCGGTCTTTTCCAGATTCACAGGGAAAGGTTCCCAAGCAGGAGGAGTGAGGAGGAGCCAGGTGGCAGGGCCAGGCCAGGCCAAGCCTTTCTCCACTGCTTCTCTGCAGAATTTCCTTGGCTGCTGGTTTTGGAAGTGTGTGACATTAGGTTATGTCCATTTCCTTGGTTGGTGGCTGCTGATAAAAATTTTGACTGGTTTCACTATTTTGATGCTATAATTCTTCATTTTTTTTTAGGCATTGCTAAGTTAGATAAATCTTATGTTCAGTCTTTTCTATCTTATCTTTACCCCAAGTCTACCTCCTTAAAATACTTTTATGAGCACAAATCCCTGATGTAAAATCAAGCCATAATGTGTTTCCTGGAGTAGGGGCGGACAAATATGTTAACTAAATTCTTTTTGCGTGCTTCATGTTGGATCAATTCTTAAGGAATAATTTTGACTGAGCCTCTTTTAAGCTTTTCCAGGCCTGGCTTGTTTTCCTGAAAAGCTTCAAAGCAGAGAGGAGAATCTTTGTCAGTTAGCTGGGTGAGTGGTTCACAAGCCTCACTGTTGTGACACACTCCGTCATTTGTGAGGGCATCACAGCCATTTTGTTAATAGAAATACAGAGCCAAAAGTCAAACATGATTTTATATGTGTGAGATGTTGCCCGAGGGAAAGGGCAAAGAATGAGAAGAGCTGGACTGGGCAACTCTCATGTGACCCCAGGTCCCTTTCAAAGTTGAGTTTCTCTAGCAAGTTTGGGATTTCCAAATGTTTCTACTGAGAAAAAAAAAAAAAGGAAACGTGCAATTAAATTAGAAAACTACACAGCTCTTACTGAAGAGCTGAAATTTTAAAAAGATGCTTAAAATAAAGCAAGGAAGATAAGGAGAAAGAAACATAAAGCATCCAAACCTGAAAGAATAACATTCAGATAGGCTAACACTCAGAAAAGATTGGAGTCTTGCCAAACATCCTGAGGTCAGCCGCCACCACAGCAAAAAGACTGTTTGATTTGGAGTGACAAGAAAGATGATGTGATCTCAGAGGAAACAGATGGCTCACTAAAGATATTTGAGGATATTTTAATAAAAAGAAGATTTTAAAAGGTGTGAGTAGGATACAGGGAAAGTGACAAAAGATGGAGCAAGTTGGAACCTGATGGGAGTAATCTGGGGGGAAGGAACCCATAGCAGAAGTGGTGGCTCTCAATGGTGGAGCCCAGCCAATCCGTGGGATCGGGCAGGAAGGGAGCTGACCCACTGTCTGCTCCACGACCTCCTGGTGCTGCCTCCCCTTGGCTGAACCCAGCCAGAAGGCAAAGAGAGACCCATTGGTCCATTCCGTCCAAGATCTCTCTCAGGGCTCAGAGCAGCGTACAGAAAGGTAGTGTTTCTGGAGGAACAAATAGAAGATATCCAGCAGTAAGGGCAAGGAGGCACAGAAGTACTTCCTGCTTCAAGGGGTTGAGTGGCTATGGTAGTTGATGTTGAGAAGGCAGATGAAGTAAAAGCAACTTCGCATATATCTTTCCTATCAAAGACAATGGTCTAACTGGAAAGAAAACAATAAACAGGGTTGTGACTAAAAACTGGGCAAATGATCTAAACAGACATTTCTCAAAAGTAAACATACAAATGGCCAAGAGGTATATGAAAAAAATGTTCAACATCACCATCATCAGGGAAATGCAAATAAAAACCACAGTGAGATATTATCTCACCCCAGTTAGAACGGCTATGATCAAAAAGACAAAAAATAACAAATGCTGACAAGGATGCAAAAAAAACCCACTTATACTGTGTTGGTAGGAACGTAAGTTAGTACAGCCACTATGGAGAATAGTATGGCGGTTCCTCCAAAAAACTAAAATAGAACTACCATACAACCCAGCAATCCTACTACTAGGTTTCTGTATTGTTTTGTTTTATATTTTTTGTTTTTTTGGTTTTTTTTTTTTTTTTTTTTTTTTGAGAAGGAGTCTTGCTCTGTTGCCTAGTCTAGAGTGCAATGGCATGATCTTGGCTCACTGCAACCTCCATCTCCTGGGTTCAAGTGATTCTCCTGCCTCAACCTCCCCAGTAGCTGGGATTACAGGTGTGTGCCACCACACCCAGCTAATCTTTTTAGTTGAGATGGGGTTTCGCCATGTTAGCCAGGCTGGTCTTGAACCCCTGATCTCAAGTCATCTGCCCACTTTGGCCTCCCAAAGTGCTAGGATTACAGATAAGAGCTACCATGCCCAGCCCCATTACTAGGCATTTATCCAAAGGAAAGGAAACCAGCATATCAGAGGAATACCTGCACCCCATGTTTATCACAGCACTATTCACAATCGCTAAGATATTGAATCAACCTAAGTGTCCATCGACAGATGAATGGATAAAGAAAGTGTGGTATATTTATACAATGGAATACTATTCAGCCATTTAAAAATAAAACTCTGTCATTCATGGCAACATGGATGAGCCTGGAGGACATTACGTTAAGTGAAGTAACCCAGGCACAGAAAGACAAATACCATATGATCTCATTCACATACAGAAGCTGAAAAACAGTTGATCTCATAGAAGTAGAGAGTACAATTGTAGTTATTAGAAACTGAGAAGGGTAGGAGGGGAGGAGATGGAGAGGTTGGTTCAAGGTTACAAAATTATAGCCAGATCAGAGGAATATGTTCTAGTGTTCTATAGCACTGTTGGGTGACTACAGTTAAAAATTTTTGTATATTTTCAAATAGCTAGAATAGAAGATTTTGAATGTTCCCAACGTAAAGAATTGAAAACTCTTTGAGGTGATGGATGTGTTAATTACCGTGATTTATCATTACACATTGTATCTATCAAAATACCACTCTATACCCTATAAAGATGTATAATTATTATGTTCAATTAAAAATAATGTAAGGAATAAACAATATTGAAAGCAAAAGAAAAAATCCCAAAGTGGTCAAAGCAATAAGCCAATACTTAACTCCTTTAAGCCCATCTGCAGGCCTAAATGAATCTTACCTGAGAGTGCTGAAAGAAAATTATGTTTAATTTCCAGAAAGGGTCAAAAGAGTACATTATTGAACCTGTAATAAAGTTACTGAAATTAAAAGGAATGTTAAAGATCTCAGGTTTCTTGATTTCAGGAAGCTATTTGATGGAGCCTTTCAAAGTTTGGTTGGTAATGAATATGCTGGAGAAACACCGGCCATACAAGAAGGTTTCCCTGACCTGGGATGGACAGTCATGCACAGTGTTTACTAGTGTTGCTCGCATGGCATGAGGAGGAAAGGGCACAGGACCCTTCTTTTTGACCCACTCCTATTCAAGTTTCTATGAAGGTCTTGAATGAAGATAGGAGGTGTAGGTCAAAGTCGTGGTTATGACTGTTTCAAAGTCAGAAAGGAGAATCGGTTCTGTGGATCTTACAAGCTCCTTTAAGATGCCTCAGGCTATGAAGCTGTGGGAGAGCTGGAAATTCTGGATGGATGGGATAATATTTCCTGAAGCTTGAGGGAAGGTGTTTGCTGAAGTTTGTCCAATGTGCTCTGTATGAAGCCAGAACCCAATGTCCCATCTGCCTTGTTCCAGCACTGCCTCGGATTCCAGATCCTGAGAACCACCCTTTACCCCAGGGAAACCCCTGATGCCACCTTCTCTGCTGCCAACCATTATGTGGTGTGAGCTGTCCCCAGGTTGCAAGTCTCTGCCAGCAGCCCTGCATGCTTCAAGACTCTCTGTGTGGCCCCACAGGGCAAGCACAACAAAGAGGTCAAATGACAGAATTTCAAAAGATTTCAACTGATGAACCAAATTAAAGGACATGTTAGGTATTGGAATTTTCCAATTTACAGAGCTAGTTTGTCCTAGCATTGGCCAGAATGAAGGCTGAAAGAGTGGCAGGGCTGCCACCATGGTTACTGCAGCAGGTGGAATTCGAGTGCCTGAATTGAGGGAAGTGGGGGTCCTCCTGCATCCCGAGATAGCGAGAGCACCTCAGAAGTGCTGGCTTAGGTGGTGGCACCCACTGTAAGAGAACGATGACAAATCTCAGTTTCTCCCTAGGAGAGTGCCCAGCAGGGTGATGAGCCAGGAAGATCTGTCAGGATGAAGAGTAGTGAGAGGAAGGGGGAACCCTGGAGAAGAGAAGAACTTAAAGGGATTCACAAGAAGTTGAGGAGGGCAGAGCTGAATGAGACAAGGTTGCAGGGAAACAGACTTTTTAAGATCAGTGTAAGGGAAAAAAAAATCCTTGACAATCAGAATTGTTTCAAAACAGAGTCAGCAGCTTCTTGAGACTGGGTCGCTGTGCTAAGAACGTAAAGGGGGAGCTGGGTGGCACCAGCAAAGTGGCAGGAATGTGTCCCTGCAGGGTCTTTGCTGCCTTCCGAATCCTCTCCTTTGTGATCCTGTAATTTGTGAGAGAGCCTGGAGGGTAGCATGGAAAAGAGAGAGGAGAGGACCTGACAGCAGTATTTCCATCTTGTCCCCTAACAATTGCCTAGGCAGTCTCCTCTCAGCAGGGAAGCAAACTGGTCACCAAATAATAATAATTATCCCCCTACATTTCCTTAATTATTTAAACTTCTGAAAGGACATCAAACACAGCAAAGAGTCAATGACTTGCTTTCAGAAGTGATTCAGACTGTAGCTCCACCCATAACAGTGTCACCTTGAGCAGTCACATATGCCTTAACATCCTTCTTTCTAAAGCAATTCCATCTTCCCAGGTTGATTGTTGAGCGTTTAGACATGATGACATATATAATCTTTATATATGTATATTTACAAGTATATGTTTATGGATAAATTTTGACTGCCTGTAACCCATGTGGCCTTGTGTCATCACACATAAGTTCACTGAAGCTCCCAACAACCAGACTTTTGGGGAAGTACAAACCTCCACATTAGCACTAGGTCTCCTTGCCTGCCCCTCTGCTGGAAGAATCCCTGGCAGGGGCCTTCTTTGGTGATGGGATTGAATTTTCTATTTCCTGAAATGTAATCAGCTTTCAGTTTCAATGGTGGTCACCCCCTTGTACCTTCTTTTAAAGATTGGAACGCTGTATTGGTTTCTCAGGGCTGCTGTGGTCTTCATAGAAGATGACCCGCGTATTTCCAAGGTTTCCTCCAGGATTGCTGGGGCTGTCTGCGTCCAGATGTTAAGGTTACTGTAGACAATAAATGGGAGAGGGTGAAGGAAGGAGGATGTTTAGAGAAAATTATCCAGTCACCTGGAGGAAAGGCTCTTAGCTGCAAAAGAGGAAATAAGGGCCAGGCACAGTGGCTCATGCCTGTAATCCCAGCACTTTGGGAGGCCGAGGCAGGCAGATCATGAGGTCAGGAGATCAAGACCATCCTGGCCAACATAGTGAAACCCATCTCTACTAAAAATACAAAAATCAGCCGGGCGCAGTGGCACACGCCTGTAGTCCCAGCTACTTGGGAGGCTGAGGCAGGAGAATTGCTTGAACCCGGGAGGCAGAGGTTGCAGTGAGATGAGATCGTGCCACTGCACTGCAGCCTGGTGACAGAGTGAGACTCCATCTCAAAAAAAAAAATAAGAAACTGCTATTTAGCACAACATCAAATAAGCAGTTTGTTGCTTATGTCTGAACACTTCTGTGAAAACAGGCAAAGGCAGTCGTGTGTAGGTTCTGGTGACCAGGAACTGGAGCTGCACAGAGGTGTAGAGGCTCCCAAAGCTCGTCAATTGTTTATGAAGGGAGTAAAGGCTGGAAGTCAGGGGGTGGGTGTCAGTTTCTGCCACTAGCTACCAGATTTCTCCTAAAGATGGGAAAGCTCCCTTTATAGAGCTGGAGTGCAATTTTGTGTTTTCTTTGTGTTTGGCAATGTCTGTTACTGACTTGCAATAGATATGCAACAGTATAGGTATGTTCATCTTAGTATTTTGGGGACAAAACTCCCAAACCAGCCACCACACAAATGTATTTATAGGTACCAGTAGGCACCTTTGGACTCGGAGGGAAGTCAGCCTCCTTAAAGCCGTATTCAGTAAGGAGAATGAAGGGTAGGCATGGCTGCAGCTTGGGTTGTGCCCACCATGTGGATATCCAGCCATGATCTCAATAGTCAGGTTGGTCCACATTGTCCAGATATCTCCATGTAACATTAACTCAGACTTTATGAAAATAACCGGTGAGAATAACCAAAGCCACATTGGGTAATGAAAACTGTATGTACAATTTTCTTTAGTTACATTGATGTTGTTACATACTGTTCATAATTAATTACATTGGTTTGTAATGTATCATGTCCTATTGTATTGTAGGTTCTAATACCAAGACCCTAGGTGTTCCTCTCTTAAAAGCTGGTGACCACCTTTAACTCATGTGGTAAAAGAATGATAGTTCTGGGAGGATCTGCATTCTCTCTGTGTCCATGCAGCATTGCCCCACACTGCCTGTGCTGAGCTGCATGATCCTCATAGCTACATCATAGT
Source organism: Homo sapiens (assembly GCF_000001405.40). Taxonomy (NCBI): domain Eukaryota; kingdom Metazoa; phylum Chordata; class Mammalia; order Primates; family Hominidae; genus Homo; species Homo sapiens. The sequence continues at coordinate 72,407,296 of NC_000014.9, forward strand.
CTTTGCTTGTAGGCTTGTCGTTTGGAGAACCGTCTTGGAGTCTTTATTGGTTGATGTCAATGGAAAGCTCTGCTTCCCTCTGGATGTCCTATGGTATTGCTGTTCCTAATGTCTTTCTAATGAGTGCTACGTGTCTGTATGTGTGTATAAAGAGATTTATGTAAAGAATTGGCTCATGTGATTACGGAGGCTGAGAAACCCCAAGATCTGCATTTGCCACTAAGTACTCAGATATTTGGTCAAACATGATTGTGAGTGCTGTTGAGTGCTGTATTTTTTAACTGCCACGTAATCCCCTCAAGGTCCGTGTTATTCTAGACAGTAAACCGGGAGAGGCTTCTAAAGCCCCCTTTGTCAGGAAATGTTACTTTAGAATCTGACCTTGTGTGAAACACAGATGACAGAACCTCTCTAGTGCAATGACATTAAAATCCTCCCCCAGTACTTGAAGTGCAAGGGAAATAGCTCATTGCTATTATGGCTGGATCATCTCATGGCCTCTCAACAGATCAAGAGCACCATTACTACTGTTGCTTTCTTGACTTGTGTTTTACTTTTATTCTAACATTTGTTGCAGTCTGTGTTAAATAGGGAGGTAGACCAAACTATGAGAAGGAGCCCTATATTGGAAACTGTATAGCCAACTATGAAACCTCCAGGCTTACTTTGCTTTCTCATTACAGGCGGCCTTCCCCTCTGCTCCACTGGAGAGAGTCAGAGTAATTGGCTCTTGCTTTATATGAAGGATATGCTCCCAAAAAAGTTGTATTTAAATCAAGTTTTAACAAACCGACTCATGCTTGTTTATCCACTTATAACACTTACTATTTAAAGGAAATGATAAAGAGTCCTTTTCTGTTGTTACAGCGTAGTTGGCAAAGCTGTATCTTCTGAAGACTGACTTGCACTCAGCAGTTTTAGATCAACTCGAGTCTGTTTATACTAAGATCCACAGACCCCTGGTGGTTCTCAGATGACTTGCAAATTCTACTAGTTTTTCCAATTGTGTGTTTTTTGATGATAACTTAAAAATTTTTTATGATAATCTTTTCATTGTTTAGTATAATAATGTACAGATAAACCCTAGATGATCACCTTATAACTGAGTGCTGTCATGAGATTTCAGTGCCTTTGTTCTCAGTCCTGTAGGTAACCAAGACTTCATCTAAAATCACATCACTTGACTTTAAATGTTTGCAAGACACATCTGACTGTCATTGGGTTGATAAAATCTGTCTTGTCCTCATTTTGTGTTGTGTGGGACTCTATCATCAGGTACAAAAGCAAAACTCCTTTGCCATGAGCGTTCACAGTTGAATGACTTTTTTATAGACCAAGAGTTTAGTTTCTTAGAGTATATATTGAATCAATTTGGCATCATGGAAATGGCATAGTACATTAGAGGCACATACTATGTTAACTGTCACAATCTAATGATAAAGAACAGAAAAGGACATATTACATAATCGGTGCATTTCTGTTAAAGTCATGGCAAGCTTATTGAACTAGTTTTATAGCAATTTGGCAGGATAAAAATGATGGGAGGATGGAGTCATCATAGGGTGCCTGCCCTGTAGCATGGACACCTGGGACACACCTTGCTGGATGATGTCTTCTTTGGGTTCCATCTTAATACATGACAACTGGAAATAATTCTGTAGCAGAAAGTAGAGTGTAAAATAGAAAATGACTCTTATTCTGATGAATCAAAGTTTTTAAGCCATATATGTCGGAGTACACTTGAATTACTTCTGTAAAAACTAGCACATTATATAAAAATCATAATAAAAACAGAGATTCCAGTGAGGGGTCCCTCTTGTTCAGAGTCGAAAGATTCAAGTCAACAAAAATGGAACCTGTAAGTTAGTCTTTTTGCCACTGTTAAAAGAAAAACACTGGACACAATACTTTTAACAGAGTTTATGTGAGCATTAGAGGATTCATGAATTGGGCAGCACCCAGAACCAGAAAAGGTTCAGAGAGCTCTACCCAGCAGCATGGGTAGTGAGCTTTAATAGGCGGAACGTGGAAGTAAGACAAAGAAAACATATTTGATTTGTTAGAGTAGAAAGTCCCTAGTTAGAGGTTAGTTGGAGGTTTCTGATGGTAACTTCTCTAGTTTCATTTTACTGTTCACATTGGGCTTTGGTTTGCTTACCTAGGAACTTAAAGTGCTGGGAATGCTTCGGCTTAATGACCTCCCAATTAAAATTTTTTTAACATCACTTTTATTTATGATCTACAAAGTGGCAACTGCCTATTTTTTTTTAATTTTATTATTATTATACTTTAAGTTTTAGGGTACATGTGCACAATGTGCAGGTTTGTTACATATGTATACATGGCCATGTTGGTGTGCTGCACCCATTAACTCATCATTTAGCATTAGGTATATCTCTCAGTGCTATCCCTCCCCTCTCCCCCAACCCCACAACAGTCCTCGGTGTGTGATGTTCCCCTTCCTGTGTCCATGTGTTCTCATTGTTCAGTTCCCACCTGTGAGTGAGAACATGCAGCGTTTGGTTTTTTGTTCTTGCAATAGTTTGCTGAGAATGATGGTTTCCAGCTTCATCCATGTCCCTACAAAGCACATGAACTCATCCTTTTTTATGGCTGCATAGTATTCCATGTTGTATATGTGCCACATTTTCTTAATCCAGTCTATCATTGTTGGACATTTGGCTTGGTTCCAAGTCTTTGCTATTGTGAATAGTGCCGCAATAAACATACATGTGCATGTGTCTTTATAGCAGCATGATTTATAATCCTTTGAGTATATACCCAGTAATGGGATGGCTGGGTCAAATGGTATTTCTAGTTCTACATCCCTGAGGAATCGCCACACCAACTTCCACAATGGTTGAACTAGTTTACAGTCCCACCAACAGTGTAAAAGTGTTCCTATTTCTCCACATCCTCTCCAGCACCTGTTGTTTCCTGACTTTTTAATGATTGCCATTCTAACTGGTGTGGGATGGATGGTATCTCATTGTGGTTTTGATTTGCATTTCTCTGATGGCCAGTGATGATGAGCATTTTTTCATGTGTTCTTTGGCTGCATAAATGTCTTCTTTTGAGAAGTGTCTGTTCATATCCTTTGCCCACTTGTTGATGGGGTTGTTTGTTTTTTTCTTGTAAATTTGTTGGAGTTCATTGTAGATTCTGGATATTAGCCCTTTGTCAGATGAATAGGTTGCAAACATTTTCTCCCATTCTGTAGGTTGCCTGTTCACTCTGATGGTGGTTTCTTTTGCTGTGCAGAAGCTCTTTAGTTTAATTAGATCCCATTTGTCAATTTTGGCTTTTGTTGCCATTGCTTTTGGTGTTTTAGACATGAAGTCCTTGCCCACGCCTATGTCCTGAATGGTATTGCCTAGGTTTTCTTGTAGGGTTTTTATGGTTTTAGGTCTAACATGTAAGTCTTTAATCCATCTTGAATTAATTTTTGTATAAGGTGTAAAGGAGGGATCCAGTTTCAGCTTTCTACATATGGCTAGCCAGTTTTCCCAGCACCATTTATTAAATAGGGAATCCTTTCCCCATTTCTTCTTTTTGTCAGGTTTGTCAAAGATCAGATAGTTGTAGATATGCAGCATTATTTCTGAGGGCTCTGTTCTGTTCCATTGGTCTATATCTCTGTTTTGGTACCAGTACCATGCTGTTTTGGTTACTGTAGCCTTGTAGTATAGTTTGAAGTCAGGTAGCGTGATGCCTCCAGCTTTGTTCTTTTGGCTTAGGATTGACTTGGTAATGCGGGCTCTTTTTTGGTTCCATATGAACTTTAAAGTAGTTTTTTTCCAATTCTGTGAAGAAAGTCATTGGTAGCTTGATGGGGTTGGCATTGAATCTATAAATCACCTTGGGCGGTATGGCCATTTTCACGATATTGATTCTTCCTACCCATGAGCATGGAATGTTCTTGCATTTGTTTGTATCCTCTTTTATTTCATTGAGTAGTGGTTTGTAGTTCTCCTTGAAGAGGTCATTCATATCCCTTGTCAGTTGGATTCCTAGGTATTTTATTCTCTTTGAAGCAATTGTGAATGGGAGTTCACTCATGATTTGGCTGTTTGTCTGTTATTGGTGTATAAGAATGCTTGTGATTTTTGCACATTGAGTTTGTATCCTGAGACTTTGCTGAAGTTGCTTATCAGCTTAAGGAGATTTGGAGCTGAGATGATGGGGTTTTCTAGATATACAATCATGTCATCTGCAAACAGGGACAATTTGACTTCCTCTTTTCCTAAATGAATACCCTTTATTTCCTTCTCCTGCCTGATTGCCCTGGCCAGAACTTCCAACACTATGTTGAATAGGAGTGGTGAGAGAGGGCATCCCTGTCTTGTGCCAGTTTTCAAAGGTAATGCTTCCAGTTTTTGTCCATTCAGTATGATATTGGCTGTGGGTTTGTCATAGATAGCTCTTATTATTTTGAGATACATCCCATCAATACCTAATTTATTGAAAGTTTTTAGCATGAAGCGTTGTTGAATTTTGTCAAAGGCCTTTTCTGCATCTATTGAGATTATCATGCGGTTTTTGTCTTTGGTTCTGTTTATATGCTGGATTACGTTTATTGATTTTCGTATGTTGAACCAGCCTTGCCTCCCAGGGATGAAGCCCACCTGATCATGGTGGATAAGCTTTTTGATGTGTTGCTGGATTCGGTTTGCCAGTATTTTACCGAGAATTTTTGCATCAGTGTTCATCAAGGATATTGGTCTAAAATTCTCTTTTTATGTGGTGTCTCTGCCAGGCTTTGGTATCAGGATGACGCTGGCCTCATAAAATGAGTTAGGAAGGATTCCGTCTTTTTCTATTGACTGGAATGGTTTCAGAAGGAATGGTACCAGCTCCTCCTTGTACCTCTGGTAGAATTCGGCTGTGAATCCATCTGGTCCTGGACTTTTTTTGGTTGGTAAGCTATTAATTATTGCCTCAATTTGAGAGCCTGTTATTGGTCTATTCAGAGATTCAACTTCTTCCTGGTTTAGTCTTGGGAGGGTGTATGTGTCCAGGAATTTATCCATTTCTTCTAGATTTTCTATTTATTTGCATAGAGGCGTTTATAGTATTCTCTGATGGTAGTTTGTATTTCTGTGGGATCAGTGGTGATATCCCCTTTGTCATTTTTTATTGCGTCTATTTGATTCTTCTCTCTTTTCTTCTTTATTAGTCTTGGTAGCAGTCTATCCATTTTGTTGATCTTTTCAAAAAACCAGCTCCTGGATTCATTTATTTTTTTGAAGGGTTTTTTGTGTCTCTATCTCCTTCAGTTCTCCTCTGATCTTAGTTATTTCTTGCCTTCTGCTAGCTTTTGAATGTGTTTGCTCTTGCTTCTCTAGTTCTTTTAATTGTGATGTTAGGGTGTCAATTTTAGACCTTTCGTGCTTTCTCTTGTGGGCATTTAGTGCTATAAATTTCCCTCTACACACTGCTTTGAATGTGTCCCAGAGATTCTGGTATGTTGTGTCTTTGTTCTCTTTGGTTTCAAAGAACATCTTTATGTCTGCCTTCATTTTGTTATGTACCCAGTAGTCATTCAGGAGCAGGTTGTTCAGTTTCCATGTAGTTGAGCAGTTTTGAGTGAGTTTCTTAATCCTGAGTTCTAGTTTGATTGCACTGTGGTGTGAGAGACAGTTTGTTATAATTTCTATTCTTTTACATTTGCTGAGGAGTGCTTTACTTCCAACTATGTGGTCAATTTTGAAATAGGTGTGGTGTGGTGCTGAAAAGAATGTATATTCTGTTGATTTGGGGTGGAGAGTTCTGTAGATGTCTATTAGGTCCGCTTGGTGCAGACCTGAGTTCAATTCCTGGATATCCTTGTTAACTTTCTGTCTCGTTGATCTGTCTAATGTTGACAGTGGGGTGTTAAAGTCTCCCATTATTATTGTGTGGGAGTCTAAGTCTCTTTGTAGGTCACTAAGGGCTTGCTTTATGAATCTGGGTGCTCCTGTATTAGGTGCATATATATTTAGGATAGTTAGTTCTTCTTGTTGAATTGATCCCTTTAGCATTATGTAATAGCCTTCTTTGTCTCTTTTGATCTTTGTTGGTTTAAAGTCTGTTTTATCAGAGACTAGGATTGCAACCCCTGCCTTTTTTTGTTTTCCATTTGCTTGGTAGATCTTCCTCCATCCCTTTATTTTGAGCCTATGTGTGTCTCTGCACGTGAGATGGGTTTCCTGAATACAGCACACTGCTGGGTCTTGACTCTATCCAATTTGCCAGTCTGTGTCTTTTAATTGGAGCATTTAGCCCATTTACATTTAAGGTTAATATTGTTATGTGTGAATTTGATCCTGTTATTATGATGTTAGCTGGTTGTTTTGCTCATTGGTTGATGCAGTTTCTTCCTAGCCTTGATGGTCTTTACAATTTGGCATGTTTTTGCAGTGGCTGGTACTGCGGTTGTTCCTTTCCATGTTTAGTGCTTCCTTCAGGAGCTCTTTTAGGGCAGGCCTGGTGGTGACAAAATCTCTCAGCATTTGCTTGTCTGTAAAGTATTTTATTTCTCCTTCACTTATGAAGCTTAGTTTGGCTGGATATGAAATTCTGGATTGAAAATTCTTTTCTTTAAGAATGTTGAATATTGGTCCCCACTCTCTTCTGGCTTGTAGAGTTTCTGCTGAGAGATCAGCTGTTAGTCTGATGGGCTTTCCTTTGTGGGTAACCCGACCTTTCTCTCTGGCTGCTCTTAACATTTTTTCCTTCATTTCAACTTTGGTGAATCTGACAATTATGTGTCTTGGAGTTGCTCTTCTCAAGGAGTATCTTTGTGGCGTTCTCTGTATTTCCTGAATTTGAATGTTGGCCTGCCTTGCTAGATTGGGGAAGTTCTCCTGGATAATATCCTGCAGAGTGTTTTCCAACTTGGTTCCATTCTCCCTGTCACTTTCAGGTACACCAATCAGACGTAGATTTGGGCTTTTCACATACTCCCGTATTTCTTGGAGACTTTGTTTGTTTTTATTCTTTTTTCTCTAAACTTCTCTTCTCGCTTCATTTCATTCATTTCGTCTTTCATTGATGATATCCTTTCTTCCAGTTGATCACATCGACTACTGAGGCTTGTGCATTCGTCACATAGTTCTCGTGCCGTGGTTTTCAGCTCCATCAGGTCCTTTAAGGACTTCTCTGCATTGGTTATTCTAGTTAGTCATTCTTTTAATTTCTTTTCAAGGTTTTTAACTTCTTTGCCATTGGTTCGAACTTCCTCCTTTAGCTGGTAGTTTGATCTTCTGAAGCCTCCTTCTCTCAACTCGTCAAAGTCATTCTCCGTCCAGCTGTGTTCCGTTGCTGGTGAGGAGCTGCATTCCTTTGGAGGAGGAGAGGTGCTCTGATTTTTAGAGTTTCCATTTTTTCTGCTCTTTTTTTCCCCCATCTTTGTGGTTTTATCTACCTTTGGTCTTTGATGATGGTGATGTTTTTGGTGTGGATGTCCTTTCTGTTTGTTAGTTTTTCTTCTATCAGTCAGGACCCTCAGCTGCAGGTCTGTTGGAGTTTGCTGGAGGTCCACTCCAGAGCCTGTTTACCTGCGTATCAGCAGTGGTGGCTGCAGAACAGCAGATATTGGTGAACCGCAAGTGCTGCTGCCTGATCGTTCCTCTGGAAGTTTTGTCTCAGGGGAGTACCTGGTTGTGTGAGGTGTCAGTCTGCCCCTACTGGGGGGGTGCCTCCCAGTTAGGCTACTCGGGGGTCAGGGACCCACTTGAGGAGGCAGTCTGCCCAGACTGCGTGCTGAGAGAACCACTGCTCTCTTCAAAGCTGTCAGACAGGGACATTTAAGTCTGCAGAGGTTACTGCTGCCTTTTGTTTGTCTGTGCCCTGCCCGCAGAGGTGGAGGCTGCAGAGGCAGGCAGGCCTCCTTGAGCTGTGGTGGGTTCCACCCAGTTTGAGCTTCCTGGCCACTTTGTTTACCTCCTAAAGCCTGGGCAATGGCGGGTGCCCCTCCTCCAGCCTCACTGCCGCCTTGCAGTTTGATCTCAGACTGCTGTGCTAGCAATGAGCGAAGCTCCGTGGGCATAGGACTCTCCAAGCCAGGTGCAGGATATAATCTCCTGGTGTGCCATTTGTTAAGCCCGTTGGAAAAGGGCAGTATTAGGGTGGAAGTGACCCAATTTTCTGGGTTCCGTCTGTCACCCCTTTCTTTGACTAGGAAGGGAATTTCCTGACCCCTTGCGCTTCCTGGATGAGGCGATGCCTCGCCCTGCTTTGGCTCACGCACGGTGCGCTGCACCCACTGTCCTGCACCCACTGTCCAGCACTACCCAGTGAGATGAACCCGGTACCTCAGTTGGAAATGCACAAATCACCCATCTTCTGCGCTGGTCATGCTGGGAGCTGTAGACTGGAGCTGTTCCTATTCGGCCATCTTGGCTCCACCCCCCCGGCAACTGCCTATTGTTTTACCTGATATGCACAACATTGGCCATTAGTGTTACCAAAGCAACATCCATCACAAGAATTAATGCTTCTTGATTTGAATTTTACTCCTCTCTGTCTCTGTTTATGTGCATTCATTTGATTGTACACTTGTATAAGAACTAAAAGCATAAAAAGTTTATTCCTACATCTGGCACAGCTCACGTCTGTAATCCCAGCACTTCGGGAGGCCAAGGCGGGCAGATCATGAGGTCAGGAGTTCAAGACCAGCCTGACCAACGTGGTGAAACCCCAACTCTACTAAAAATACAAAAATTAGCCAGGTGGGGTGTTGCGTGCCTGTAATCCCAGCTTCTCAGGAGGCTGAGGCAAGAGAATTGCTTGAACCCGGGAGGCGGAGGTTGCAGTGAGCCAAGATCGCACTGCACCCCAGCCTGGGTGACAGAATGAGACTCTGTCTCAAAAAAAAAAAAAAAAAAGTTTATTCCTAGTTTTACATTTGTAGCATTGAAATTAAAAGAATCTAAATAAATAACAGAGCACTGTGAGAATTTGTTGTTTAACAGAGCTCTATATGCATTACACAATTTCAAGGAACATTGATCTGAATGTTCCTATCCCTCATGGACCTTGAGCCCTGACAAAAGTTAATAAAGATGGGTCTCCTTTTCTTCTTGTCCCCTGCTTTCAGCTCTGAATGAGAAAAGTTTTGCAAATATGTCGGTACTTTGTATTAAGCCTAAAACTTATAAAGTATCAGATTTGTAAGTTGACTGTATTAACTTTAATTTCTCAAAGTGTTCTCAGTTAATTAGGTTAACCTAAAACTAAAACTATAAAGTGATTCCTCCCCTACCAAGAAAAAAAAAATTAAGCTGAAATCCTCTGTTTAGAGTTTCAGGCCTTTGGGCTGGACTCCACAACCCTTCTCAGGAAGTAGCAGTAGACACCTGACCTTAGGCTGTAGTGCTAATATAACCTGTGTCAGTAGCTGCCCCATTGCAAACAAGGAAATGATCCTCTGAAGTCAAACTCAGGAAGGAACAAGAACCTGTCTCTCTGAGCTCTCTAAAGAGTGTGGTTAAGAGTATGAGCATTGACAACAGACTGCCTAGGTTCAGATACCACCTCTGATGCCAGTTATGTGATTTTGGGCCAGTTTCTTAATCTCTCAATGTCTCAACAACATGAGTCTAATAATAGCATATATACCCCTATAACCATGGCATGAGGATTAGACAGGTTGATTGGTGTGTATAAAACACTTGGAACAGGGCCTGGCACAGGGTATGCCTTAGTAGATGTTAGCACTGCATCACGACTGCTACTATGATTACCGTCCCTGTCACTGTTGCTGCTGCCACCACAGGCAGGTCAGTGGAACGTCACCCTTCAGGGATTTATCAGCGCCACTCCCTAAGCATGCCACCTGCATGAAGGGCAGACATGAAATTGTGCCGCCAGCGTTCTGGTTTCTTCAGCGCTCCCTGCCAGCTGAGCTGTGTGAAAAGCACTCAGCTATGAAAAAATGAGAAAGATTGATTGAAATGTTGGTGAGGTCATTGTCAAATATTCTCTGTCAACTGAATGACTGCAAATAGGGAGATGACTGCCCCCCCACCAAGTCAGCCTAGGAGGGTTCAGTCCTTCATTTATTCATTCACACATCACTCCTTCACTGTGCCAGCCAGCCATGACAATTAAGTGCATTTGGGAGGAGGTGGCAGCTGAGCTGGAAAGGGGGTTTGGCATTATGCTGGGAAGGTGTAAAAAGCCAGGCTGAAGATTTGGGCCGTCTTTTTTTTTCCCCCAGATAGTGGGGAGCTGGATTTGGAGACAAGAAACCTTTGTAGACCCTCTGGCACTCTCTATTGACAGATCACTGCTAGGAGGCAGTGTGACTCGGAGAACCGCATGGGCTCCGCCACCAGCTCTGGGTTCCGCACTCATTAGCCAGATGACCTTGGGCTCATTATTTAGCAAGCCTGCACTTCTGTTTCCTCACCTACAAAATATGCATAAAATAGCAGTACATACCTCACGGAGTTGTTCTGGGGCTTAAATGAGTTCATCTGTGCAAACATTTAGACGAAGTGCTTGACATAATCAGAGCTATGTAGGTGCTGTTAATTCTTCTTTGCCCCACTGGTCCCCAGGTTCCATATCTGTAACAAGAAGCAACTGGACCACATAATTTCACATCCTTTTATACCCAAGTTTTTGATCAAGAGAGCTCAGGCTGTACTTTAAGCTTAATGTGACAGTGATTTATAGCATAGCTTGGGGGCGATCTGAACACTTGGGGGCAGAAAAACAAGTTAGGCTTTCCCTGTTTCCATCATTCTCCCACCTTTCCTCCATCTGCCTGTCCCCACCTGGACATACATGCCAAAAGCCACGGCCCATTTTACTAGATCTAGGTAGTATGGGAAAAGACCATGAAGCGGACACATCATCTGTACTGCCAGTGTCTCTCTTCAAAATAAACTTTTTTTTTTTTTGAGCCTGAATCTCACTCTGTTGCCCAGGTTGGAGTACAATGGCATGATCTCAACTCACTGCAACCTCCACCTCCCGGGTTCAAGCAATTCTCCTGCCTCAGCTTCCCAAGTAGCTGGGATAACAGGCACCTGCCACTACAGCCGGCTAATTTTTGTATTTTTAGTAGAGATGGGGTTTCACCATGCTAGCCAGACTGGTCTCAAACTCCTGACCTCAAGCAATCCACTTACCTTGGCCTCCCAAAGTGCTAGGATTACAGGCATGAGCCACCGCGCCCGGCCCGCTTCAAAATAAACTTCTTTACCAGGAAATAGGATTAAGAGGAGGTAGAAGGAAATTAGAGTAGGATCAGAAAGATAGAAAAAGGAGTTTTCTCTGAAACAATAGGACAGCCAGATACAGGCTGAGCAGGCCCAATGATGGATAGAGAGGCACATCCACTGCTGAGCTCTAACCTAGAGAGAGAATGTCTCAAAACTCCTTGCATGGAAGGTGCCTGGAAATGTATTTATTCTCCTGTTGTTTATTCTCACCTCTCTTCATTCCTTTTTCTTTCTTCTGTCCTTGAATCGCAGCAGATAAAAAGACAAATCTGCTGAGAGGATGCATGTCACAAGTGGTCAGATGAATTACAGCCATAGCACCATATAGATAAGAGGCAAGGCTGGCGCCTGGGCAGGTCTGAGAGGGTCCAGGAGGACACACACCATATCAAATTGTGCAATTTAGCAAATGGCTGGTGGCAGACTGAAATGATAGTTAATCTGTTTTCCATGCACTAAAGGCTTTTGCCAAACTAAGATTTGCTGTGAAGACCCAAAGCTGGAGCCCACCCAGGGAGCGGGCTGCCTTGGATGCGTTTCCCAGCCTTCTACAGTGGATGCCAGTAAAACTAACTAGAGACATGAATGGGCACCAGGATAAACACAAGGGGATATTTTGTTCTTACCATTAGAGAAGGATACTGCTAACTGGCAAGAAGTCCCATGGTTGTTATCTTTTGATTAGTAGTAGTAAAAATACTATTTAAAGCTAGTAGCATTTTTTGAGAGCTTGCTTTACACTGGGTACTTTTTCAAGTGTCTTACAAGTATTCGCTCATTTTATCTGCACGGCAGCTGTATGAAGAGAATACTGTCATTATCTTCACTGCATAGGTGAGCAATGGAGGCACAGAGAAGTTCAGCAACTTGTCCAAGCTCTCATAGCTGGGAAGTGGCAGAGCCAGGCTTTGAACTCAGGCAGTCTGACTCAGAGTCCAAGACTGCCGGCCTGAATTGTAGGAGAGAGACAGTGCGGGTATACCAGGAACCAAATCCTATCGGCTGAACATCAGTGTTTAAGTCGAGCCCAGATGCTCTGCACAAAATACAATGTGTCTGTGCACATGTGACTGTTAATCAGCCATTTCCTTGGTTCCTGCTTTGTGCTGGCCACTGAGCTGGACCCTGTGGGATGGATAAATCAATGTCAGTCATGCCCCTGGAGACCTGGCTGTTGCAAAAAGGCTCCTGAAATCATCATAACCCAAAAGAGAAAAGGGCAGGTGCTGAAGAGAAGTATAGGTAAAGAGCAGCAAAATCATAAAGGAGGGGAGACTCTTTGCCTCTGTGGTATCAGGGAATGCTTCTCAGAGCGGGTGGCGTTTGCCCTGAGACTTGAAGTAGGAATTTAAAAACATAGAAATGCAGTGGAACGGGAAGAAGGACATTCTAGGTGGAGAGAAGTAGAGCAAAATGGTCCAATCTGCCCCCCTAAGGGTGTGAGACAGAGAAGTGGATGGGAAGGCCAGGAAGGCTGTCGCCATGTGGGCCGAACATGGGGAGGGAGGTGTTTGTCAGAATCAGAATGGACTCAGAGGGAAGCTGAGCTAAAAGCTTCAATTTACAGATGAAAGAAGAAAGAATTTGGATATGTGACTCACTCAGTGTACCAAGTTCGTGGCAGAAGTAAGTCTCAAACCCCAGGCTTGCCTCCAATTTTCTTTGCACTGATCTCCTGGCATAAACATGTGGCTAACAAGGGTCTCACAATGCCAGGAGGGTGTTACGTTTTTATAACCTGTTCTATTTGAGGGTCTCCAAAATTACATATTTGAAGTTAATATTAGCCAGATGCTAACTGTCTGCAGGCAAGAATAAGCACCCACTTTACATTGGGAGAAGCTAGAGATTTGGGAATCAGGATTTGCTGCAGATACTTTGAGGAATCTAGGCCTCTAATCCACAGTCTCCTAAATTCTGGAACTTCTGGCTTAATTACACTTTTTAATAACCAGTCATCATTGCTGCATAATTTGTGAGGTCTGGTATAGTATGATTCCTGTTCCCTTCAGCTAACCCTGCCCCCACCCCCATCCTTTAATAAACGTAAAACTTTTCTTTCCTGTGAATTCATTTTTTTCCCTTTTATCTTTTGGACCTTTGCAATTAACATATTAATATTTAATTCATATTACCTGAAGGTCCAAGAACACTTTTAAACTCATGAAAAACCTTCACTAGTAATTTAGCTGCTACCAAGGTATCCCTGAGCCCTCATTATTTGCCTCTGGAAAATGCCGTAAACGACATCTAACAGGCTTCAGCTCTGTACCTCTACAAATAAGAAATTAAGCAGTATTCAGAACGCCATTGATTATTAATTTAAAAGAAATCAAAAATCAATATCACATTCCTGTAACCTGGCAGTTTTTCTTAACTGAAGGCAGTTGCCTGCAGAAGCCTTGTGGCTTTCCAGAGCAACGGCGCCCCTTCGTGGTGATAATGTGAACTGCACCCCAGGCGTGATTGAAAATAAGGCAGAAAGGAATGCCGGCCTCGAGCAAGGACACCGGTTCATGCCCAAATCACTTCTGCTTTCAGCCAACAGACTGTTTCTGCCAAAAGATGGACGCAGCTAGATTTTTTTTTTTTTTGTACCGATAATCTGTCTTAAAACTTGGAGAGGATCTCTTTTCCCCTGTGAAGTCAGGAAAATGACAGCAAGCAGCATGGATTGGTTCGAATAATTTTCACCAGAAATGTGGGGTGAGGGGAAGGGATGGGACTGGAGTCAGAGCAGTGATCTGGCGGGATGGGGTGATGAGCCATACGGAGATGAGGTGTGGCGCCACGGGCTGGGAGTCAGGGATTATAGAGTGAGGGTGGGGTAGGATCTTCCTGGTCATCAAAACTATGAGAAATGTAATTATTTACATTTTAAACTAAGCCAAAGACTGTATTGAAATGTCTTACACCCAGAACAGAGAAGTGGTATCACCAAAGTTCAGAATTCCCAGCTCTAACGTGATGCCTTTGGGGACTGCCTCCCCACCCCAGGCTGACCTAACACACCCCTTTGAGAAAAGAGGATTTAGTTTCTCCTGACTGTGAATTGAATATGTGGGATGTGCCCCTCCAGGAGCTTCTAAAATCACCTCTGCTTTGACCTTGAGGGGCCGTGGTAGAGGGGAGACAGCACCGGCTTAGAAACCCCACGGCTCGGCTCTAGTCCCAGCATCAGTGGAGCACCAAGGGGAGAAAGTATTCATCACTGAGGTATTTTATGATATGTATATTGTTCCTGGGCAGTTGCACCCCTTATCGCCTGCACCCTGTGTACAGCTCCCCATTCCTCCTCCCTTGGAGGCCACTGTGCTATGTAACTTGCTGTGGGCTGCAAGAAAGACTGGGCTCCCGTTTCCTCTTCTGAAAGGCAGGAATCATGCTCCCGGCTGACCTCACAGAATCATTCCACAGATTAAATGGCGATATGGCTTGTCTGTGTTCACACTCAAATCCACATGTTGTGGGAGGGACCTGGTGGGTGGTAATTGAATCATGCGGGCAGGTCTTTCCCATGCTGTTCTTGTGATACAGAACAAACCTCATGAGATATGATGGTATCATAATGGGGGGAGGTTCCCCTGCACAAGCTCTCCCTTTGCCTGCTGCCATCTATGTAAGACATGACTTGCACCTCCTTGCCTTCTGCCATGATTGTGAGGCCTCCCCAGCCACGTGGAACTGTAAGTCCATTAAACCTCTTTCTTTTGTAAATTGCCCAGTCTTAGGTATGTCTTTATCAGCAGCATGAAAATGGACTAATACAAATGGGATGTAAAAATAAAATTCTTATATACTTAGAACGGCAATATGAGCTTTACATCTGAGTTATGCTATAATATCAATCAACATATATAATAATATAAAGTAGTATATTTATTATAAGTTATAATAACAGAGTGAGATAGCTTAGTAATTTCTTGTTAGTATCTGCAATCTTGGGGAAAACAAATCTAGAGAAATAAGTCCAAACTGGAGCTGCAGAGTCAAGTGGGCGAGAGAAAGAAGTCTCGCTTTTTTTGTTTTCCAGGAAAGCTCAGGTCCAGTTCAGCAGGCCAGCCCAAGAGACTGGGAGAGCCCTATGTACTCAGGAGAGCAGCCTCACCCCTCGTCCTTGTCCAAGATTGGGGAGTGGGTGCCCACAGCTTGTATGTGTCCCCATGAGAGTGGGTGTCATTATGAGGAGCATCAAAGGGCCAAGCACAGTGGTGACAGATGTGGGGGAATTTGCCATTCTGAGGGCAGAGGAGGTCAAACACAAGTGGACTCGCTTATTAAGCCCAGAAAGAGAACTGGGAGAGGAAGGCCAAGTGAGGATGGAGGCGGAGATCCAGGGCCCATCTGCAAGTCAAGGAGCACCGAGGATGCTCAGCAGCAGAGCCAGGAGAGGGCATGGAGCGGACTCGCTTGCAGAGCCTGTAGAAAGAACCAACTCTGCCGACACTTTGATTTTTAACTTCTGGCCTTCAGAACTGGGAGAGAATAAATTTCCATTGTTTTAACCCACAAAGGAAGAAAAAGACTATCAAGAGTAGAAGGGCCTGACAGGTGGCCACACGGCAGGTGAGTCAGAGAGTTGAGTCACGTGGGAGGTAGTTTAGAAAAGGATTTGTGAAGAGGGCCATCCCCTAGCAGCGTGTTGAATATAGTGAGGAATATGAGATGGAAAAGAATCTTTTTAGAGAACATGGGTGCCAGACATAGCCACAGACAAAGTCGTGAAATAGACAGAAATTTGTCCCATTTATGGAGACTGTGGTTTTCCACCCATATGTCCCCCCACCCCATGTCATGTTTACCTGGCCCTCAGGCTCACGCTGATGGCCCTGGGCTGCTTTTTTCCCCTCAAAAGCTGATGTCTGGTCTCTAATTATAAGATACAAGATGAGATGGAAATAATTGTTAACAATGTATTCATTCAACAATGGATTGTGTAAAAAAAAATGTGGTACACATACACCATGGAATACTACACAGCCATGAAAAGGATAAAGTCGTATTCTTCACAGCAACAGGAATGGAGCTGGAGGCCATTATCCTAAGCAAATTAAAGCAGAGGCACAAAACTCAATACTATGTGTTCTCACTTATAAGTGGGAGCTAAACATTGGGTCCTCATGGACACGAAGATAATAGTAACTGACACTGAAGACTACTAGAGGGGGTAGGGTGGGAGGGGGACGAGGGGTGAAAAACAACCAGCAGGTCCTTTGCTCAGTACTTGAGTGACGGGATCATTTGTCTATCAAACCTCAGCGACATGCAATTTATACATATAACAAACCTGCACATGTACCCCCGAGCCTAAAATAAAAGTCAAAACAAAATATTCATTCCCAAATCATTTACTACATACAAATCGTT
Source organism: Homo sapiens (assembly GCF_000001405.40). Classification (NCBI taxonomy): domain Eukaryota; kingdom Metazoa; phylum Chordata; class Mammalia; order Primates; family Hominidae; genus Homo; species Homo sapiens. The sequence goes on from NC_000014.9 coordinate 72,423,876, forward strand.
AAGTCAGGATCCCTGCTGTGACACTAGGGATTATAGAAGTGTTGAAAGCTTCATTCTCATCCAGTCATTCATTCAGTGCCTGGCTGGGGTTGTGATAAGCAAAAGCAAACCCATCCCTCTCCACATGTAGCTTCCAGTCTCGTGGTGGCATTTCCTCAGAGGATGAAGCCATCCAGGTAGCATAGCAGGCATGAGGTGGTTCCAGTAAATGGAGGTGGGACAGTCTCCTTGGGCTGCCACCCTGCTTGGGGCTATTCCTGGTAGGGCCTGGAGCTCTGCCTAGAGAAGCCCACATGCCCTCTCCTGGAGTCACAAGGGCAGGCCAAGTATTCTGTCCTATTCCAGTCTTTGCTAGAATGTGTCAAGTGCTGTGGGCTTGAGTCCTTGGCAATTTTTGCATGGGACTTAGTTTGGGGGTAAGTTTTCTGGAAACTTGAAATGTTTCACTTAAAAAGAAAAATGCAGGATTCAAAGAAGTAAAGAGTAACAAATAAATAGAGGCTTTTTTAGTTCAGGGGTCAGCAAACTGAGGGCATTGCAGCTGTTCTGGAATTAATGCGTGTCCGGGCAAGGGTCAGTAATTCTGAGATGCCGTTCTGTTGCTTTCAGGCCTTTTTTGGTGAAAACTCTTAAAGGAGGTATAATTCTTCCCTTGCTGGGAGTCTTTGTTTCAGAGGGGTTGTAAAAAAAGATTCCCAGAGGATAAATCATATCTGTATTAACTTCCTAATGAAATGAAAAATTATATCATTGCTGATTATTCCTCCTTGGCTGATATGGAAAAAAATACTATTAATACTTTTTAGTGTGATTTTAATCCTTTGCATTCACGGATATTTGCATTAGTATTTTCTGGACATCATCTTGTTTATATGGATTTTATTCATTGTAAGATGCCATCAGATCCAGGCATCTGAGTTCTGGGGGGGCAATGCTATAATCCCTGCCCAGAACCAAAACTTTCCCTGTGCAGATGGTCTTTCAATAGAGTGGAATGTGTTTGGGGTTTCTGCATATTTCAGTTTACAAACCCTTCAGTGATGGTTGTCTTCATCCTGAGTTTGGCTCCATGCTTCAGAAGATGCAACAGTGCTGAGAACGGTGCCTGACATGCAGGAAACATTCAGTAAGTGTTTGCTGAATGAATGAATAAATTAATTCAACAACAGCTAATGAAAGCACATCCCTTAAAAAGTCTCGGCAATATTGCGAGCATAATACCAAAGGCAGAAACCATAAAAGAAAGAATTGATGGATTGGAAGGGGAAAATCTTTTTTTTTGAGACAGAGTCTCACTGTGTCACCCAGGCTAGAGTGTAGTGGTACAATCTTGACTCACTGCAACCTCCACCTCCCGAGTTCAGGCAATTCTCATGCCTCAGCCTCCCAAGTAGCTGGGACTACAGATACACATTGCCACACCCAGCTAATTTTTGTAATTTTAGTAGAGACGGGGTTTCACCATGTTGCCCAGGCTGGTCTCAAATTCCTGACCTCAAATGACCCACCCACCTCAGCCTCCCAAAGTGCTGGGATTATAGGCGTGAGCCACCGCAGCCGGCCAGAAGGGGAAAATCTTATAACATGAATTTCAGATAAACTGTTACATCCTTAATACTTAACGAATTCCTGTTAATCAGTATACAAATATTAGTACCCAAATAGAATAAATACCGATGGCCAATAAATGTATTAGAAACATTTGAATCTCACTTATAAAAACATAGTTATTTTCCTAAATGGGGTATCATTTTTTCCCAATCAGATTGGCAAAAATAAACAAGAATACAAATCCAGCCTAGCACATGTACGTACTTTCAAAGGGAGGATAATTTGGTTCAACATGTTTTGAAAGCTGGTTGTATGGTATGTTTTGAAACCTTGAAAATGACCCAGAAATTTTCCTTCTAGAGATTTATCTTAAGGAAATTATAGGAGGCATAAAAAGTTTCACCTGCTTATTGCTTTGTGGCTTATCATTGCAAAAAGAAAATGGAAAACTACTTCTTCAGCTAAAGGAAGTGATACGCTATCGTACTAGAATATTAAAAATGAAGAAGGTAGGGAAAAGAGAAAGAGAATCTAAGCGGTAAAATTGTTTGACCTTTATTTTCTTCTTTTTGCTTAGCTATATTTTCTAAAGTTTTTGTTAAAATAAACTCTTTTAACAAAAAAATTCTAAAAACTCATAGCTGCTTAGATGATAATATAATTATAATATTTATGTTAATTTTTGTTGCGAACGTATGTTTATGTTGAACTTACCAAGTGATCTAAGCTATATTACTAAGTTCTTTTCATAAGCCTCTGAGTTCATGTATATTAAGCCCTTAACATAATTCTTAGAGTTAAGCAGAGCAGGTGGCGTTATTCTTCCATGACCGCACTGAGACTCAGAAAAGTTACATGACTTATTCAATATCACATAATTAATAAAGAGTAAGACTGGCCACAAAGTCCAGGATGCCACACACATAGCTGAGTGCTTCTTCCTCTATCATAGAAACAAAAATCTGGATGACCATTAGGCCGTTGTTGGCCTGCAAAGGTGTAGAGCAAACTATTTTATGGTATTGAGAGCACTTATCTTGGCATTACTCCATCTGATTGTTTGTGTCAAGTAGGAAAGATACATTTATTATTCCCATTTTGTAGATGGAGAAGCTGAGGCTCAGAGAGGTTGAGTGACATTCCCAAGGTTGTACACAGTAAGTGGTAAAGTTAGGATTTAAACAGTTTTAGTCCGAATCCCTTGCTCTGTCTACTTCAGTTTGGCATAATAAATTCTTAACTTCCTTAACAGTTTGTCCCATCATATTCCTAAAGTTTTATGATTTGATGAAGTCTCTCTTAAGCTCCTTTTCCACATGGGTGGCATGGGTTAGCAAGATTTTGAGGGCTGATCTTGTGTGACAGATTGTATTTCCAAAGATGTCTGGAATAATATCTTGTGTCCCACATACTGTTGTGGAACTATCACCTCTCCATCCCAAAAGGTGGAACAGAAGCAACACTATGAAACTGCCAAGGCTAAATCATAAACATTCAATGCACTTCTGCCTTGCTCTCTTGGGATGTTTGTGCTTAGAATCCAGCTGCCCTGCTGTGAGGAAGCCCAAGCAACTCTGTGGAAAGGACCACATGGAAAGGAACAGAAGTGCCCAGCTCACATCCCTGGCTGAGCTCCTGGCCATCAGCCTAATTTGCTGGCCATGTGAGTCATCTTGAAAGTACTGTAGGTTCAAGGTTTACTTTCTGAGGTTTCAGTTATCCATGGTCAACCGTGGCCCAAAAATAGGTGAATATAGCACAATAAGATATTGTAAGAGAGAGACTATATAACTTTTATTTACATAACTTTTCTTACAGTATATTGCTATGATTTTTCTCTTATTAGTTGTTGTTAATCTCTTATGACTAAGTTATAAATAAAACTTTATCATAGGTATGTATGTATAGAAAAAACATAGTATATGTAGGATTCAGTACTATCCGCTGTTGTAGGTATCCACTGGGAGTCTTGGAACATATCCCTTGTGGATAAACAGAGACTACTGTAGATCCTCCTGCTCCTAATTAGCCTACCCTAACTGATGTTGCATTGAGCAAAGTGAGGTGAGCCGACCAACCTCTGCCCAAATTGCAGATTTCTGTGTAAGATAAGTGATTATTCTGTTGGGGGTAGTTTGTTATACTCATTTTCCCTCCTAACCCCAAATTAGGTGGCAGGGATGGAGGAGTCTTGCTTATCATCTCTCTATTTTTGTTAACTCCTCCTCGTTCAGGGTAGACTTTGGCACCTGGATCACAACCTTATTCTCCACCCCAAACCTGCCATTATCCTTGGTGACACCATTATCCATGAAGGGGACCCATTTGATATGTTAGCTTCTCAGTTCCCTGTCTTCTACCCCAAAGTCCTTCAAATTCAAAGTATCTTACTCTTTTTGTTTTAAAATTGCTTGGAGTAGTAGAGAGGACTCTAGTGGAATATACAAGCCAAAATAATCAGGAATTTTTACATGAGAGAAAGGAGGAATGTCGTGAAGGGCATCAAAAAGCAAGAAAGATGCTCATTTTCCCTTCCAACCCCAATTTAGGTGGCAGAGGTGGGAGCAGGTGAAAAGAACAAAGGGCATTGGAAAAGACCACCTGGAAGTCAGTGAAGACCAAGCGGTAAAGGGATCCTTAGCTTAGGCAAAGGCTAGATGGGGACTTATCTCACCAATGGAGCCAGAGAACAGATGTTCCAGATGTGTGTGTGGAAGTGGGAAGAGGACTGATTAAGGAAAGAAGAAGCTCAAAGCAATATAGAGATGAGACAGAGAAATAACAGGATTCCAGAGGCACTTGGATTTTACTCACCAAGGATGAGGGGGAATTAGTTGGTCTCAACATTTCTAACGGCAAAGTTACAGGTCACCTAATACATATTTATGTATTAGTTGGATCAGAGGATGGATGGATGGATGAGTGGGTGGGTGGATGGTAGATGGCAGTGGATGAACAGATGAATGAATGGACAGATGTGAGGATTTCTCTGTGGGAGATTCAGTTCGCCCAGGAGTGATGGTGTTTCTGAGAGAGCCCTAGCAGCATTTGTTATCTCCTAGGCTCTCTCTGAATGTTCGAAGCAGTGAGTGGCAAAGAGGAGGCTCAGCCCTCTCTGGATTGATCTGTTACTGGGGTGTACAGGCATTCAGTGCAGAGTTCTCTTCATCAATGGTCAAATAACTTCTGTTACCCACTTGTGATGGCTCCTGTAGCCTCTGGTTCGACTCCATGTAACAACTGAAGAGCAGCCTTGCTGCAACAGATAGGAAGCAGGTCTTATCTCTGATTTGAGAATAGAAGGCCCGGTGGGTACAACCTGTAGCACTTTCAATCCTGTAGAAATATAGATAGTGATGCTGTTGGTAAAAAGGAATCCACCCTTTCCAAACTTTTTCCTAAGTCAGTGGTTGTCAACTGGATGAGGTCTTGCTCAAGCACAAGTGTCTGGACCCCTCCTCTAGAAGGAGTGATTCTGCAAGGCTGAGCAAGCCTGAGAATGTGCATTTCTCACCTGTAATCCTAGCACTTTGGGAGGCCAAGGCGGGTGGATTGTCTGAGCTCAGGAGTTCAAGACCAGCCTAGGCAACATGGTGAAACCCTGTCTCTACTAAAATACAAAAAAAGTTTCCAGGTGTAGTGGCACACACTTATAGTCCCAGCTACTCAGGAGGCTGAGGCACAAGAATTGCTTGAACCCAGGAGGCAGAGGTTGTAGTGAGCCAAGATCATGCCACTGCACTCAAGCCTGGGTGGCAGAGCAAGACTCTGTCTCAGATAAAAAAAGGGATGTGCATTTCTAATAAATTCCCAAGTGATATTGATACTGCTCTAGGACCACACTTTGGGAATCACTTCCATCCTGCATGGCTAGGTTTAAATTAGGCATTCTTAACTTCATATGTGGCAGGGTGAGTGGATGTTGAGGGCCCCAGGTATATTCTTGAAAAACAAAAAGAAGTCAGTGATCAGTTAATTCATTCTAGTCTCCTGCTGAGACTGTTGTCTGGCTTATGAAGGCCAGGATTTTTGCCACCTGAGGCATTTGGAGAAGCCTATGAAGGAGAGTAGAGGAGAGGTTGGGGACAACAGAATGAAGCCAGCCAGAAAAAGAGACTGGGCATAGGGGGAATGGGAATTTGAGGAGAAACATATCATTCATCAGAACTTAAATCTGCATTTTTAGAGAAGATATTATAATGTGCTTACGTGGCCTCCAGATGTGCACAGGTGCCATAGGATAGAAGTAGCCCAGGGAAGCCTTGTCATAGATGGGCTACATAAATAGGAAGGCTTGCAGCAGTGTTAAAAGACAGCTGATATGATTAGGCTTTGTGTCCCCACCCAAATCTCATCTTGGCTTATAATCCCTGTAATCCCGTTGTGACAAGGGAGAGACCAGGAGGTAACTGAATCATGGGAGCGGTTTCCTCCATGCTGTTCTCATGATAGTGAGTTCTCATGAGATCTGATGGTTTTACAAAGGGCTCTTCCCCACTTTGCTCTGCACTTCTCCTTCCTGCCGCCTTGTGAAGAAGGTACCTTGCTTCTCTTTCACCTTCTGCCACGATTGTAAGTTTCCTGAGGCCTCCGCAGCCATGCTGAACTGTGAGTCAATTAAACCTTTTTCCTTTATAAATTAACCAGTCTCTGGCAGTTCTTTACAGCAGTATGAAAATGGACTAATACAACACCCTCCATGCAACCTGGAGAAAATGCAAAGTACATATAGCTCTCAAACTTCAGGAAGGGGATCCATATATGCAGACAGCCATTCTTTAAAATAACCTTTCCATTCTCCCATCCACTTCGCTCACACGTGATAGATAGTCTGTATTATCTCTTCTCTAACATCTCCACCCAAAACTAAACAAAACATTAAAACCCTCCAGTCATTATTTAACTTGCCTCTTTCTTCACCTCACTTCCAGTTTCTCCCCGATTCACATTCACAAAAGCCCAAGAATGTTATGGCTGATCAAGGACTCTCCTTTGAGGGTGGGAAGAAACTGCAGGGGTCAGGCCAGAATTCTCTTCTGCAGACAGAGGAGGGGGAAAGACAGGAAATAAGCATGCACAACGTTCACCTTTGTTGGCTGCACAACAGCTTGGGATGTGCACCCAGCCCTAGGTCTCCAGCTGAGATGTCCTCAGTTGTACTCAGCAAAATTGCCACCTTTTCTGAGTTATGAAAGCCTTCTCTCCTAGAGCCCCAGTATGTTCCTGGCACCTGCAGGCTTTTGGGTTTTGGTTTTGGGGTTTTTTTCTGTGTGGTGTTGTTGTTGTGTTTCTTCACCAGGGCATGAGTAGACAGATCCTATGCAGGCACTTTCTTTGTGATCTTCAGGATCATTTGTTTTATCTTGCCTCCCAAATGCTGATCACCCATGGGCATGCTTCTTGAGGGTTGCAACCATGGCTTTAAAACCCAGAACAGCTGGTGTCTGTGGTCTGCAGGGCCCAGAAAATATTATTTAATCCAGGAAACATTCCTTTGTTCTGCTCTGCTTCATTCAGACCTCTCCTGGGTCTTTTCCTTCCCCTGCTGGCTATCGATTTCCATCCAACTGAAGGGGTGAAGTTCAGAAGCCCAGGAGACAGCCTGAATAATGGGTATGCAAGTGTTGCATCACACATGCAGCAAACATTTATTAAGCATGTATACTATACAGGGCTGCAAAAGTCCATATGTACTAGGATCTTACAGTACACTTGGAAACAACAAGGAATCTGGGTATGAGGATTCTTTAGGTGGACCAGATGCCTGCTCTGTGTAGCAGCAGAACTCTTCAATATGGACTGTAACCACCTGCTCCAAAATCACCCTGGGGAATTGTGAATAAAATGCAGACTTCAAGGCTCATCCTATACTTGATGAGATAGGGCCCTGAAATCTGCTATCTTAACAAGCACCCAGTTGGTTTGGCTCTTCATTTTTCTTTTTGAGACAGAGTCTCATTCCATTGTCCAGGCTGGAATGCAGTGGTGCGATCTTGGCTCACTGCAACCTCTGCCTCCTATATTCAAGTGATTCTCATGCCTCAGCCTCCCAAGTAGCTGGGATTACATGCATGCACCACCACACTTTATTTTGTTTTATTTATTTTATTTTATTTTATTTTATTTTATTTTATTTTAGTAGACACGGGATTTCACCATGTTTCCCAGGCTGGTCTCATCTCTTGGCCTCAAGTGAAGTGCCCACCTCAGGGACATATATTGTATGGTACTGTAGAGTGCTTTATACTTATCTTTCTCCTAACCAGATGTTAGCTCTTAGAATCTCATCCTCCTACTTTCCAAGGTCCCTGCACCCATCACCAGGCCCCCAAGGGATATGGACAGGGAGAGCCCTCTGGCCAAATTCTCGCTGGATCTCCCAGTGGCCGTTCAGCTTGGACCGCCTTTTCTCCTCTTATTCCAGTGATAGTCCAGGATATCTTTTTGCCTTTTTTCCCTTAAGACTTCCCTGGTCTTGGTATTTGGGATTTTCTCATTTTGAATCTGGGGGTGAAGAGGGGAATTTAGGGGATATTGGTCACTTGTCTTCTGTGTCCAAATGTGAGTGTCTTGCTTTGGATTAGGAAACCCCTAACTAATGAATGTTGTTAGGGGCTAAGACCACTCCAACAGTAGAAGCTAGAAATCTTAGATACTACCTTGCCCATCTCTGGGTGCAGCCAGGACACTGAATGTGATTCAGGCTCTGCTGATTAGATGTGTCCCTGTTAGACATTGACATAGACCCCAGGAGCCAGGGTTATAAGGGACAGGAGTCCTTTGTCCTCTGGCAAGGGTAATTTCCTCCTCAGAACCAGTCCTGGGCTATGTTGATGGGCGTGGCCCAGTTGCCTTGTACCAAGTCAGTTTTCTAGTCCTGACTAGAAATTGTTAGTTCTGGCAGCTAACAATTCTACATGATCCAAAAAAGTGAGGGATATCATTTAAGGAGGGAGGGAGACAGCCTCTGCCTTGGTGTCTCACCTTCCAGGAGTAAAGACGTGTCCCAAGTAATGGGTAGCTCCATGCACAAGAGAAGAGACAGTGGAGAAGATAAGACATGCAAGAGGAAGGATCATGGAAGAGAGACCCAGAACATTTGCTTAACCAGATCTATTTATAAGTTTTAGTCCTTAATCAGAAAGCAATGTATCTTTCTTAGAACAGTAACCTCATAATGCATTCCTGAGGAGCCCAGTTAGTCCTTGCTCCTGTCCATCCCACCTCCTTCAGGCGGTAGAACAGAAGAAGGGTCTTCATCTCACCCCAGCTAAAGCATCTCTGCTTCCAGAAAGTGTGGATGAGTGGGAGCCATAAACCTGGGAAATAAGCCACATGCTACCCTTTTGGTTGTTGTTTATTTTAACAAAATTCTATGACCCCAGGACCATGTTTCTAAGAGTAGCCACTTGAAGCAGAAGGAAATATTTAGTCAAATTCTACAATCACAGCCAAATACAGTCTAATGGCAGCCAGCAGACACTGTGGAAAGAGAGTGTCACACACCATTCTAATGTGGGGAGTAAGGATGATGAAGAATCAGTCATAGGTCCGTGTTGTAGCTCCGTCTGGGGAGTGGAACTCATAGGGTATAAGTGATTATTTCCTATTCATTTCCTTAGCCCTGAACCGTCCAATGACCACACGCAACTTGACTGGCAAGAGGTGTTTAGAATGTTGAGACACGGTCAGAAATGATTGGTGGTTTCATGTGATGCAAAGAATTTCCCATACTCCGCCTGTTTTCTGGATCACCTGTCCCCAGAAATTGCCTGAAAACAAATCACAGGTTGAAACTAGAAATAACTTCCCTCTCCTAGGCAGCTTGGAGACTGGCCACCCTGTTTCTTGGTTTGGTAAGAATGTTCCAGACACAAGGAGGGGAGCAACACACACTGGGGCCTGTCGGGGGTTGGGGTATGGGGAGGGAGAGCATTAGGAAAAATAACTAATGCATGCTGGGCTTAATACCTAGGTGATGGGTTGATAGGTGCAGCAAACCACCATGGCACACATTTACCTAAGTAACGAAACTGCACATCCTGCACATGTTACCCCAGAACTTAAAATGAAAATAAAAATTAAAAAAAAAAGAATAATCCAGAAAGTCAAGAAAAGCCTAACTAAAAAAGTCTTTTTAGGCAAGAGAGCATCGTAAGTAGGATGTAGAGGAAGCTCCCCTGCTTAAAACCTGTTAATGGTCTTCTGTAGCTTTCAAATTCTAGCTCCTCTTGCCTCCACGACTCAACTCCCCAGCCCTCCTTCCGAGTGTACAAGATGACTCACCCTGAGTCCAGAGCCAAACTCTCGGTTTGCATCCCAGCTCTTTGCCACTTACTACAGACCATGTGACCTTGGGCAAGTCACCTAACCTCTCTCTGCCTCACTTTCTTAATCTGAAAAGGGGGGGATGATGACCACCCGTTTCATCAGGTTGCTGTGCATACAAATGGGCGAATATGTGTAAACTGCTGAGAACAGTGCCTAGCAAATAGTAAGCCCTATGTAAATGTTTGCTGATGTTGTGTTCCATGATTCCGTGGCTTTGAAGATGCTGCTCTCTCATCCTGCAATGCCACCTTACCTTACCTAGCAAATTCCAACGTGTCCGTTAACATTCAGCTCAAGGCTGGGCACAGTGACTGACATCTGTCATCCCCAAACTTTGGGAAACTGAGGCAGGAGGATCTCTTGAGCCCAGGAGTTTGAGATCAGCCTGGGCAAGGTAGCAAGCTCTCATCTCCACAAAAAAATTAAAAAATTATCCAGAGGTGGTGGCATGCACCTATAGTCTCAGCTACTCCAAACACTGAGGCAGGAGGATCGCTTGACACCAGGAATTTGAGGCTACGGTGAGCTCTGCTCTCACCTCTGCACTACAGCCTGGGTGACAGAGCGAGACCCTGTCTCTAAAAAGTTTTCATTTTTAATTTTTTAAAAAATGTTTTTAATGTATCTCAAGCCCTACCTCCTTCAGCAAAGTGTTCTGAGCACCCAGGTCTGATGTAGGGCCTTGTCCATGCTTCCTGAAAATATATCTTCTGTAGCATTCAATGCACTGGAATGCCTATGTTAGCTGAAAGTTACTGATCACAATTCCGGTGGCCTGGAGGATTGGTGAGCCCAGCTGTGAAGTTTAGAGGCTTGCTATCTTGCCCAGGCTGATCTCAACAAGTAAACATTAGTTTATTCATCTGTCTTCTCCCTGGTTTCAAGCCCCTGGAGTGTAGGGCCACATCTTACTTGGCATTGTATCCAGCAGTCAACATAGTCCTAGAATATAGAAGGCCCTCATGTTGAATGAATAGTAAAACCCTCCTGAAATCCATTAAATTCATATGTTTATTTACTCACTCATTCTCTTCCTTTGTTCAAAAAACATCTCTTGAGCCTCTGTGATGTAAACCAAGTGCTTTTTAACCAGCAGCTTCTCTCTGATGATCTATCTGCAATCTCTGTGTCAGTCCTCACATTTAACTAGGACAAAAAGAGAACATAGATTCTTAGTAGCTTTGCTCATGACCTGACTTTAACAAGAAAAATTTTAGAGACCAAAAGTCTGACTGATAGCTGAGTGAGTTCTTTCTTTCAAACTCAAAGCCCTGTTTGAGCCTCTAAACTTCACAGCTGGGCTTGCAAATCCTCCAGGCCACCGCATTTGTGATCAGTATCTTTCAGCTAACATAGGCATTCCAGAAGATGTTCTGCCCTAAACGTAATTGGAATCCTTTTTGAATCAGTTGCCACAGTACTTCTGAAGTTTTTTATGCTAACTTCTTGGGTATATTTCCTCAAGATGGATTCAAGATGTGGCCAGTTCTCTTGTGAGAAGAATACATTTCTGTTGTCCTAAGTGTAGAGACCCTCTAGTTCATGTAATAGCCCTGCAAAGCAATCTGCTATTACCAGTCCCAGCATCCATTTCTCCTTCCTTCCTTAGTAATAAAACCCTGCTTTGGCTGAGCACCTTGTTGCCCAGAATTAAACACTGTTTTACCAGCTTCCCTGATGGGTGTGGTCAGGTTACTAAGATCTGGCCAAAGATGTGTGTATGAGTTTTCTATGCTGCTGCAAATTACTACAAACTTAGTGGCTTAAAACAACACACATTTATCTTATAGGTCTGGAGGCCAGAAATCTGAGATGGATCTTAGAGACTAAAATCCAGGTATTGGCAACAGAGGTGTATTCCTCCTGGAAGTTATTGCTTTTTCTAGCTTCTCGAGGTCGCCTGCATTTCTTGTCTCGTGGCCCTTTCCTCTGTCTTCAAAGCCAGCAGCTCTCTGGCATGTTTGTGCTTCTCATTCTCATTCTCTCTCTCTCTCCCACCCCGCCCCCGCCCCTGCTGTGTTATCACATCTCCTCTCTCTGATCCTTCTACCTCTCTTTCATAAGAACCCTTTTGATTAGATAGAACCCACATGGATAATCTCTCCATCTTGAGGTCCTTAATCACATCTGTAAAGTCCCTTTTGCCATGTAAGGTATCATATTCACAGTTCTGGGGATCAGGACATGGACATCGGGGGGACATTATTCTATTGTCATGTATAAGTAGAGTAAGTAAGTAGAGTATGGCATTTTCAGAAATGTGCTCAAAGGGAGGTGTCTCAACTGGGAAGGACCCTCTTTGACCCTTCTGCCTTTCCTTTCTAAAGCTGAGATATGATGGCTGATGCTTTAGCAGCCATTGTGAACCATGAGGTGGCCTTGCGGATGGAAGTCAAGCACTAGGATGGTAGAAGAGAAACATTAAGATATAAATTCCTGATGATGCCATGGAGCCACCTTTTACCAAATACACTTCTATCTTGTTTAAGCTACTGCCATCTTATTTGTTTTTTTTTTTCTGGAACATACAGCTGGACCTAATCTCAATCCCTTAAAACTATACATGACTCTCTTCTTAATAAACTGCAAGGCTGGTTCTCTCAGCCTACTACCCTGCCTAAGGAACAGATAGGTAGTAAGCATGGATATGACCATTGCTCAGAAAATGTGTTCCAAAAACAGACAGTATGTTTATCATTTATTGATCAGTTCAGCCTCTGGCTCTGCCTATACACTGAGCCATACAACCTCAATATTAATCTGGGCTGTTAACATTCTTCCAGAGCTTTGATCATGGTCTACATCTTACTCCCCGGAGAATCAGGTGGGCAGAAATGGGCTACTGACCTATCAATTTCTAGTCCTGATTAGCTCAAAATGTGGTCATTTCCTCTTAACATAAATGTATTTAACAACCTGAAATAGCAAATAGCAAGGTAACTTTCCACTGACCTGTCTTACTATTAATATCAGAAGTCAGAGGTGGACCTAAAAAGTAACCAAACAATCAAAACCAATGTCTGTAAGGAAAACCAGCATCGTTATTAGTGACACCAAGATTCAAATCATTGATTTAGCAACACTCCTTAGTGTATTCATCAGATGTTTATTGGAAATCTATGGTGTGGCCTCTGCAGTGAGTCAGAGTGCAGAGTTGAAGAGATGAGGGTCCCTCACCTTAAGAACCCTCACTGCATTAATGGAGAGACAGACCAAGAAATGCCTTTGTGGTTTCAAGAAGTGCCTTTGTTCTGTTTCATTTTTTTATTGTCAACAATCATGGCCAGGCATGGTGGCTCATGCCTGTAATCCCAGCACTTTGGGAGGCCAAGGTGGGGGGAATCACCTGAGGTCAGGAGTTCCAGACCAGCTTGGCCATCATGGTGAAACCCCGTCTTTACTAAAAATACAAAAAAAAAAAAAAAAAAAAAAAATTAGCCAGGCATGGTGGCGGGTGCCTGTAATCCCATCTACTCGGGAGGCTGAGACAGGAGAATCGCTTGAACCCAGGAGGCGGGGGTTGCAGTGAGCCGAGATCATGCCACTGCACTCCAGCCTGGACTACAGAGTGAGACTCCATCTCAAAAAAAAAAAAAAAAAAAAAAGGAAAAAAAAAATCACAACCTAGATTCTGTAAGCACCTACAGCAGCTATCCTTTGCTGGGGTTTCCTCATTCAGCTCTCTCCTCATTCATTATCTGGGTCCTATTGTATTCCCTTTATTAGTTTTAGCAATGTTTAAAATTATTTGCTGCTTGAAATCTAATCCATTTTGCAAGTAACCAGCACCTGGGGGCAGGGGTAGTGATGAGAAAACAGGGCTAAAAGGAATAAATTCACAATGAGTTTTATATTTACACCATCCTTTTCCCATTCACAGGGTTTTCCCATTTGGGAACATTCTTAGCGTGTTCTCTGAACAGAAGACCGTTTCTCTTGGTCTGAAGTTGATCAATGTGAGAGGAAGATGGCACATTAGAAAGATGCCTGGCTCTGATGACATTCCACCCCGCAGTCTTCCAGCACACTGGGATCTGGGGCTTGAAGTCACTTGTCTGGCTGTGTGACTGTATCCACTTGGAAGCAGCGTCCCCTGCTCCTAAGTTGCACAAGATACTTCAGGGAGTCTGCTGTGATTTAGTGATAGACAAGTCAGAAAACAAGTTTAAACTTGTTATTAATCAGAAGAGAACACAGACATTTTTAGCTGTCTATCTGACTTGGTCATAGGGCAGAGCCATCAGATGCCATCAGTGGTGGTCGGTGTAGATTTTTTTGTGAATCAAGACAGGAGCAGGAAAAAGGGGGGTGGAAATAACAGACAGGTTCCAGGAGGGCCTGGTGGAGGGTTCAGCTGTTGGAGCTCATTTTTCTTGCTTTTTCCCGAGAGAGGGGAATGGACTGCCATTGTCACAGGTTAAGTCACAGAAGAGTGAAGCTCAGGTGACAGGAGACATTCCAAATTGAGAACAGACATGCCAGGGGTCCCTGTTGCCACCTGCTCACAAGCCAAGGCCTTGGTTCCGAGCCCCTCTTCTCTCTCTGCATTTTCTCCTTGGGTGACCTCATCCAGCCTCGCTGCCTGAAGTGCATTCCTACACACCAGTGACTCTCAAATACTATCTCCAGCCAGCTCTCTCCCCACAAATCCAGATTCAACAGCCACTCCATGTCCCTACTCAGATGGCTCCTACAGACCTCAGGCGAAACATGGCTAGCACGCAAGCCCAGGTGTCCTCCCCATCCTGTTTTCTCATCTCAGTTGATGTAAGCTCCACCGTGCACCCAACTAGTTAAGCTAGAAACCTGGAGTCACTCGAGACTCCTCTTTTTCTCATGGGCAAGCCCCATCCATCAGAGAGGACCAGGAGCCTTGCCTCCAAACCCATTTGCTTCTCTTGATTTCACCATATCACCTGTGCCCAACCAGCCTTCCATTTCTCTAACCCAGTGGACACAGTTCCAAACTGGTCTCCTTGCTTCTACTCCTCTCCCTTTACAATCCATTCTGCACTCAGCAGCTAACATCTTTTAAAAACATAAACTGGACCCCTTACCACTTGAAGCCTTCCAGGACTTTCTATTTCTTTTAAAACCTGACACAGCCCCTGCCTTCCTGGTCTCCTCTCCACTGTGTTCTGTGTGGCCAACCTCCAGGCGTACGAGCCTGCCTCTTGCCCTCTGGACAGATCAAGCTTGCTTCCTGCCTTGGAGATCTGGCCTTGGCTGTTCCTCTGATGGGGAGGCTCTTCCTCCAAAGAGTCACACGACCATCTCCTTCTTGTTCCTGAGTTCTTTATTCTCAATGAATGAAGTTTATTGCACTCCCCTCCCCAATCTCAGTAGTCCCCAGTGATCCTCTCTCCCAACTCCCATTCTAGCTTCATTATTGCGCTGTTTTTCCTTGGTTTCATGCAGTTTCCTTGTTCATTGACTCCTCCATTACAGAGTAAGCTTAGAGAGGTCAGGGACCACATCTGTTTCTGTCTCATTCCCCACTTCAGCACAGAGAACGATATGGGGCACAGTAGGAGCTCGATAAATGCTTTAGTGAATGCATAAACAAAGTAAGAAACCATGAGGTGACCCAAACCTCGGTTTCTTCAGTTATAAAATGGGCACATGGGTGCAAAGGCTCAGGTGTATTGTAAGGGTGAAACGAGAGGTGATGCGTGTGAGGCCTTTGTGAGCTCTAGATCTCTTTGTAGATGCAAAGTATCAGTGTAGATTGCAGTAACCAGGACATCAGAAGAAAACCCTGCTCTTTGGAAGCAAAGTGTGCCAAATAACAAAGCTTAGCTCTACAAGGCTATCGCTAAGCCTATGCAATAAATACTTTCTCTCCTCCACATCTGAGCTGGACATTCTCCACTTGTCCCTCCAGAGCCACTCTCCACCCTTCTTACCTGCCTCTGTGCCTCACGGGCTGTCACTACAGCTGCCTCAGTAAGCTCCCTTGCCCTCTGGGTACAAGGCTTCAACTGATGGGTGACACCAACAGGAGATCAGAGGGGAGGAGAGGGAGACCAGGTAACTTATTCCCTGGCAGACCTTCATCAGAGAGTAGCTGTGTTCTGCTGAAGGCTGTGGCTTCTGTCTGTCCACCTTCTCCTAGAAAGACCACATCCTGTGGGTTCCTGTAACTGTTCCTCCTTGCTACCCCATTCGACCTGAGGTTGGAAACTTCCTCTAGTTGTTGCTCTAGCCGCAGGCTGCTCCACAATCCCTAACCCACCCAAACCTTTGTCTAAAGCACCTTCCTTACACCCTCCCCAGCTGTGGCATTTCGGGGCCCTGTTAGCATCCACGTGATGCTGCTTTCTACAAATGTGTCTATTTGTGGTGACAGCACTTGCGCTTTGCTTTCTTCCCTTTCTTATCCTACCTGATATCCCAGCCTTCTGCCCCTCAGCTACAAGACCACTCCATAACCATAGAGGACCAAAATCACCTAGGAGCTTGAGAGAGAAAATGTATTTGACATCTTGAAAATAATGCAGTTTGCTCAGGGGATTTATTTCTCCCTCCCCTGGGCTCTGCGCTCAGACCCTCTTTGCTTCTGTCCGACTACTGCAAGCAGGCAGTTAAGATTATTTCTAGCAAATGGACTTAGAGAAGCTGAGCATATGAGTGATGTTGAAATTTGACCTACACTTCTTTTTTTTTTTTTTTTTTGAGATGGAGTCTCGCTCTGTTGCCCAGGTTGGAGTGCAGTGGCATGATCTCGGCTCACTGCAGTCTGCCTCCCGGGTTCAAGCGATTCTCCTGCCTCAGCCTCCCATGTAGCTGGGATTACAGGTACATGCCACCATGCCCGGCTAATTTTTGTATTTTTAGTATAGACGGGGTTTCACCATGTTGGCCAGGCTGGTCTCAAACTCCTGACCTCAGGTGATCTGCCTGCCTCGGCCTCCCAAAGTGCTGGGATTATAAACGTGAACCACCGCGCCTGGTGAGCTATGCTTATTACTTAGATTTCTAGCAGATAACATATAGTTATTTCCTAAAACTCTGTTCTTAACCTGAGCTGTTTTTGTCATTTTTCAGGGTTTTAGGGGGTGGGAACATATTACAGGAGCTATTAGGTGCATGAGTGTGAGTTGCGGGCATATGTGAGGGTTGTGTGTCTTGTGTCTATGCACATGCGCAGGTGTGTAAGTGGGTGTGAATATGTGTGAGCGTTGCATGCATGCATGAGTTGTATGTGTGTTGCATCTGTGCGTGTGTGCAGGTGGGTATGAGTTAGTGTGAGTGTTGCCTGCATGCGAGTTGGGTGTCTGTTGCATCTATGCATGTGTGCAGGTATGTATGACTGTGTGAGTGTGTGCAGGTACAGCTTCTGTATTAATAAGAGACGGGCAATCACTGTGCACTGATATTGAGGGGTAGGGATTAGAGGGCACCTTGTCTATTTGGGAGGTGAAGGAGGGCTGGAATGAGAGGCTGAAGGGGTACAGAAGAGGAAGGCAGACCCCTGCAGGCCTCAGGGACCTAGCCTCCCTCCCTTCAGTGTCCCTTCCTCTCCCTGCAGGAACCAGAAAAAGTGTGGAGGTCTGAATTGCAGTCTCTAAAATCTCTCCTCAGTCTCACATGACTGGCTTCAGTTTTCTCACCAGTCCTGCAAAGCCAGGCCTTGACCCCTTATCTAAATATCCAAAGAAAAAAATGGAATTAGGGATCTTAGAAGGAAAGAGTGGGGCAGGAAATGCACCACCAGGGCAGTGCAGCTTGGTCACTGCCAGCTCCCCTCATGGGCAGAGGGCTGGCCTCTTGCAGCCGACCAGGCACTGAGCGCCATCCCAGGGCCCTCGCCAGCCCTCAGCAGGGCCAGGACACACAAGCCTTTGACTTCCTCCTGTCACTGCTGCTGCCATTCCTGTTTTGTGGTCATCACTCCTTCCCTGTCCTCAGACTGCCCAGCACTCAAGGATGTCCTGTGGTGGCATCAGACCAGAGGCCCCTGAAGAGGAGTGAGTTGGGTGTTTTTTGCCGCGCCCAAAGCAGCTGGCTGTCCCCTGAAAGATGGCAAGTGGGGAATGATGATGGTGCACCATCGTTCTGCACACCAAGCCCTTCTGGATAGGAGGCCCCCAGCAGTGGAGGGATGGGGGCTGCCAACTGGCATTGCCCAGAGGCCCAGCTCCTGGTCACATAGACTGACCTAGCAGTGCACCAGCTACCCGAGGCAGCCTGCAGGAAAGGTGCACTCATAGCGATGCTGGAATGCCATGAGGCCCAGCCATGGGGTTGAGAACTGGAATGGAGGGAAATGTTTGCATCCTGATGCTGGGAAACAGGAGATCAGTCCTCACCAACGCTGAGATGATTTCCCTCTGGTTCTTAAGCTCGGTTCTCTTTCTGCTTGATGCTTGAATCTCTGGTGTCTGGCAGAGAGTCTGGTGTCTGGCATAGTGCTTTGTATGTAGGTCATGCCAGAGCATGCTGGTGACTTTGCCCTTCTAGGACTCTTTTCCATTTCATAGGGACTTGCTGTGAAACCCCGTTTGACCTGGATATAAATGTTAGATGTCATGGAGTCCTGTTAGCATGGTGAGCTGCAGGCTGTTCTGCATGAGTCCTCCTTGAGCCTGCATCTAATACCCACTGCTCAATCAATCTCTTTTCACTGTTTCCCATTGATCCCAAGTGTGTCCTCTGTGAGCCTTTTCTTGACACTGGGTCACCCAGAATTACTCCCCTGTCTGTGTCCCCATAGCACCCCACAAATAGTTCAATCATAGCCCTTGTAACATTCTGGTGCACCAGTTTAAGGACAGAGCCCTGTCTTATTCATCATTGCTGGTGGATGAATAAAAATGTTCAAGTCGTAATAACGGCAATGACAACAATGATAAACTCACCACTTACTGACCATTGGCTGTGTGCCACAGGACATAGGACTGAACATCTTACAGGTGTTATCCTCATGTCCACTCTCTCAGACTGCACTTCTATCGTATTCTACAGAAACTGAAGGATGGAAGGTCACAGAGCTGGTGGGAGGGGAGCCTGGATTCATACCCAAGCCGTGTGCCTCCTGGCCACTCCTATGGGTGAAGGAAAGCAAAGGGCTTAGCTGTAGCTGGGATGGAGAAAGAGGAATCTCAGGCTTCTCGTCATATTTTGCCTCAAGAACTGGAAATTGATCTGGGAGTAGATCCCACACTGAGGGAGAAGGCCCCAGACCAAGAAAGGATGGGCTCATCTATTTGATTGAAAACAGAGAAGCTTGGAAGACCCAAGGTAGGGCAATTCCTGAACCGTCCAGGGCTGGAAAACCTGTAGCAAAGGCCTGGGGAGATGGGGCAGAAAGGCTAAATTATAACTTAGGAATCTCCACCAGGAGATCAGCTCCAAGACAGCTTCCAGTTTCGGCAGATGGAAGGGATACTTGATGGAAAAGGAGGGAGGGTAAGTGTCAGAGACTGCTAAATGTCTTTACCTACATTTCCTCATTTCAAACTCTCACAGAACAGAGTCTGAGGTAGACTCTAGGGCTGGCCCCATTTTGCAGATGGGTAAACTGAGGTTCAGAGCACTATACCCGTAAGATCTTTGCTCAAGAACTTGTATGTCCCAGACCATGCTTGAAACCTGGTTTACTCACACACCCTGCTGTGCAGACCTCCTCCGTTCCAAAGTGGTGGCAGACTTCAGTGTGCTTTGCAGACTTTCAATCTCAGCACATGCTGTGGAAGTGCTAGCAGTGTTGCTGTGCTAACCCTGTGGTTAGGCTGATCACAGTCCTGGTGAGTAACTATGGCCTGCAGCCCTGGCATCTGAAAGATGACCCCTTGCCTCTCCTGCTGTCCTCAAGAAAGCCTTAGCCCCCTAGATTATTTTCAATATAAAATGTTCATACACTACTTTTCAGATTCAAATTTGCACAAATGAAGTGACCGTTAGACACCACTGGAAGGTAATAAAACCCCCAAGCCTGCCAGCCATCAGGTCCCTCCCAGCCATCCCAGAAATATGCTCAGCTGCCCTCGAAACATCTGTCATGCTCTCTGGTGGGTGCTACTGGGCACCTGACATTAGATCACTTCTCTCCCAAAGCTGCAGCTCTGCTTATTCGATTCTTATTTCTGCCTTTGGATTGAGTGGAAGGCAGTCATCAGTGACAGCCACCCTCGGGGAACAGAAACGATGTCCACAGTGGCAACGATCCTCCATCTTCCTGCACTGAGGCCTAATCAATGTAGCCCATACCCAGCCTCCATTTAATAAGCTGATTGTTGAGCTAAATCCCGCACACTCTCCCCTTGCCCTGGACGCTTTTGATTGACAAAACTAATCTCTCCTCCACCCCCACGTCTGCTGCTGCCCACATCCTCTTGCAAATCATGTACTCGGCTGCTGACAATTAGATATAAGACTTGGGATTCGGATGTGGGAGGGTTATGAGGTTATGAATCAATTGTGGGGGCTCAGGTGAGATAACAAACCAGGGGAACCCATTTCAGACACCTCGCCACAGCCCTCAGAGCCTCCTGGTTGATTTATGAGTTGGTAATAACCTCGCTGGGTCTCCTGGCCCCTATTATTTTTCATAATGCACAGGAAAGCTTTAAATATCAGAGAATGGGGAAGTGCACAGTCTGAGTGGGAGGGAGGTGAGGGGGGATGGGGCTTGGGGGAGAACAGTGGCCAAGGGCTTCCCCGCAGCTGATTGTCTCTCCTGCCCCATCTCCCCAGGCCTTCGCTGCAGGTCTTCTAGTCCTGGACGTTTCAGGAATTGCTTTATCTTGGCTTTTTCAAGCTTCTCTGTTTCATTCAAATAGATGAGCCCATCCTTTCTCGGTCTGGGGTCTTCTCCCTCAGCGTGGGATCTACTCCCAGATCAGTTTCCAGTTCTTGAGGCAAAATATCAGGAGAAACCTGAGATTCCTCCTTCTCCATCCCAGCTACAGCTAAGTCCTTCGCTTTCCTTCTGTGGGTCACCACGGGGTGCCGTTGTCATATACCCATGGAGGCCAGCAAGCTGATCTGGCCAACCTGGGAGAAGACCCCAGGTTGATGACCCCTGGTTTAGGAGTGCATATGGCAGGATGCTTGAGGGATCACTGGGCCCAAAATCGTATTTGCTGTGTCTGGATGTAATGCCTCCCACCTGTTCAAGACCACGTCAGAATGACTCAGAGACCTGCCTGTTAAGAAGGGAAAATTATCCGCTGGACAAAAGCCAGTCAAAAAGCAGGCTCACCCTGCAGTCTGGAAGCCAGTTGAGCAGCGAGGACAGGCCAAAAAGGTGGGAGGGGGCCAGTGAGTGTCTCTCAGCCTGGAGGTAAAGAGCTGAAGACTTTACCTTTCCTTCTGCCTGCTGTCCTCTTCCCAGTGACAGCCAGTTTTTAATAAGGAAAAGGAGGAGGCTTTGAATTGCTACCTAATATTTGTTTAAGTAGTAATTTGTTGAGATTTCTCTGTTTTGTTTTGTTTTGTTTTGTTTTTTGAGACGGAGTCTCATGCTGTCGCCCAGGCTGGAGTGTAGTGGTGCAGTCGGCTTACTACAACCTCCGCCTCCCAGGTTCAAGCACTTCTCCTGCCTTAGTCATCCAAGTAGCTGGGACTACAGGCACCTGCCACCATGCCCAGCTAATTTTTGTATTTTTAGTAAAGACAGGGTTTCACCATGTTGGCCAGGCTGGTCTCGAACTCCTGACCTCAGGCAATCCACCTGCCTTGGCCTCCCAAAGTGCTGGGATTACAGGCAAAAAGATGTGATTTTTTTTTTTTTTTTAACAGTATCAGTGGGTGAAAGACCCTGAACCTTTCCTCTAAGGCAGTGTTTGTAAACTGCCTATATGATGTCTGGTACTAGATTGTGATGATGTTTTCAAGGGCCACAAAACAATTGAGGAAAAATTTAAAACATACTGAATATACATGTGTGGGTGTTTATGTATTATGATGTGTATTTGAATACAACTATCAACGAATAAGCATTCATTAGACCCCAACTCTGTACCAGATGTTTGTTTACTCCATGCCAGGGACAGAACTAACAGGGTCCCTGCTCTCTTGGAGCTACAGTTTAGTGGGCATTATGGGTTGAATTATGTTCTCTCAAAAATTCATATATTGAAGTTCTAAACACTAGAACTCCAAAATGTGACCTTATTTGGAAATAGAGTCATTGCAGATGTAATTAGTTAAGGTGAGATAATTAGGGTGGGCCCTAATCTGGTATGACTGGTAGTCTTATTAAAGGGAAATTTGGGCCAGTCATCGTGGTTCACACCTGTAATCCCAGCACTTTGGGAGGCCAAGGCAGGAGGATCACTTCAGCCCAGAAGTTAGAGACCAGCCTGAGTAACATAAGGAGACCCTGTCTCTACAAAAAATTTAAAAATTAGCCAGCATGGTGGTACATGCCTGTGGTCCCAGCCACTTGGGAAGATCGGGAGAGGCCTGGGACAGATTCTCCCTCACAGCCCTCAGGAAGAACCAACCCGTTCGACACCTGGATCTTAGCTGTCTGGCCTCCAGAACCATAGACAATAAATTGCTGTTGTCTAAGCCACCCAGTTTGTGATACCTTGTCATGGAAGTCATAGCAAACTAATATAGAAGAGGAAACAGACATCGATCAAATAATTACATTGTGGCTAATTCCAAACTGAGATAAATGCTTCAAGGAGAAAGAACCTTGTTCTCTTGACGTTGAAAGCCAAAGGACCTTGAGCCAGTCTGGAGGGCAATGAAGGCCTTCCCGAGGGAGTTAGGGCTGAAGGATGTGTCAGAGTCAGCTAGAGCTGTGTTCCCCAGCCTTTTTGGCACCAGGGACCAGTTTCATGGAAGACAGTTTTTCCACGGACCAGGGTTGTGGGGGATGGTTTCAGGATGATTCAAGTGCATTACATTTATTGTGTACTTTATTTCTATTATTACATTATAACATATAAGGAAATAATTATACAACTCACCACAATGTAGAATTAGTGGGAGCCCTGAGCTTGTTTTCCTGTAACTAGACAGTCGCACCTGGGGGGTGATGGGAGACAGGAACAGAACATCAGGCATTAGATTCTCATAAGGAGCGTGCAACCTACCTGGCATGCACAGTTCACAATAGGGTTCATGCTCCTGTGAGAATCTAATGCCACTGCTGATCTGACAGGAGGCAGAGCTCAGGCAGTAATGTGAGTGATGGGGAGGGGCTGTAAATACAGATGAAGCTTCACTTGCTCACCCGCCACTCACCTCCTGTTGTGAGGCCTGGTTCCTAACAGGCCAGGGACCATTACCTGTTGGGAGGCTGAGGACCCCTGAGCTAGAGGAAGAGGTGGGAGGAGGAAGGGAAGGCACGACAGGCCCAGGGAGTAGCAGATGCAAAGATCCTGTGGTGCAATGGAGACTGTTGCATTCTGGGAAGGGAAAGGCAGTCCCAAGGCAGGAGAGGTGGGGGAAGAAGAAGAGGGTGTTGGGATGGATGCAACCAGAGCACCCCAAACCAGAAAGATGTTTACTCCATTACCTTCAACTGAATTACAGTGGGGTGAGGGCACCTATTTTGCTTTCTGCCCTCACTTCCGGGAAATGCGCATCCTGGATCACAGAAAAGCTGCTGGGCAGAGGTCCCAGTCTCTCAGTGAGGCCTCACCAGACTAGTAGAGTTGTCCAGCCACAATGCCCTCCTCATTTCCCCTTCTGTCCAACAAGCTGTCTATCGGAAGATCCCAGTCTAAAAGCACCAGAAGACATTTTGAGTTTCTCTAAGGCCTAAAATTTAAAAGCTGATAAGTAACACAAGGATTCCAAGTTACTGCTGTCTCTCCCAGCCACGCAGATGACTGGGTTAGACACTTGGCTGGTATGAGGTCCCTGAAACATGGGCTCTGTGAGTAGCCAATGTGTATTAATATTAATGCTTATGATATGTCAGGCACTCTGCATGGGTTCATTACCCCTCACAGTCAAGATGATGGGTCCCATTATTACTGTCCTGTTTTCTTTATTTTTGAGACGGAGTTTCGCTCTTGTTTCCCAGGCTGCAGTGCAGTGGCACGATCTCGGCTCACTACAACCTCCACCTCGCGGGTTGAAGCAATTCTCCCTGCCTCAGCCTCCCAAGTAGCTGGGATTACAAGTGCCCGCCACCACACCAAGCTAATTTTTGTGTTTTTAGTAGAGTCAGGGTTTCACCATGTTGGCCAGGCTGGTCTCAAAATCATGACCTCAGGTGATCCACCCACCTCGGCCTCCCGCAGTGTACTGTTCTCTTTTCATATGAGGAAATAAACGCACAGGGCCAGCAGATGACTTGCTAACAACCAGATCATTTCAGCAAAACCATGAACCAGGCATTGTGAAGAGAGTTTTGTATACCTGGCCTTATTCTTAACTAGACAGCACTTCACCCTAGTTGACGTATGAAGAAATGGAGATCAGGGCAGGTGGTGGGTAAGGGACCTGCCCAGGTTCCCACCGTTTGTAAGTGATGTACCATGAGTTGCTCTCAAGTGTGTCTGACTTTATAAATGCTGCACCTTATCATTTCCTATGCTTGGTAAGCAAGTGAGTGTGAAATTTGCCACGCTTTTCCTTGGAAAAACTCAAGCCCATTGACCAAACAATACTACTTGAAAATGACACTGAACTTTTCATCACTGTGTTTCTCCACCTGTGTTCCCTTCTGTCTTACTGCCACCTACTCATTGTGCTCACCCTCCAAAGCCCAGTTTAACATTTCCTCTTAGTTAAGCTTTCTCTGCTAGCTGATCATTGCATTTTTTTTCAATTAAGGCATAAAAGAAAAAAAAAAGACGGTAAAGATTGTCCTACTTAGAATATCCTTCCATTCATTTGCAAAATGGAGATAATAATATGCTATTTACAACATAGGATTAGTATAGCAGGATTATTCCAGAGCCTGGAATATAGAAAGTACTCAGTAAATTATTAGTTCAACAGCTAATAATAGTACCAATTATTATTATCACTAAATTAATGCCTCTGTTTCAGGAAAAAAACTGAATACATACAGAATATCGGTTTTCTAATTGTTTTTTCTTTATACTACTTGGAAAGTTATACAGAGTTAAGAGACACAGAATAGTATAGTGGAAATAATATTTGGCATGAAATTGCCTGGATTCCATCAGTAGTAGCCTGTGGTCTTGAGCCTCTCTGGGCCTAATCTTTAAAATGGATATAATAATTATCATATTGGACACAATTATTGTCAAGATAACATGCGATAACAGGGTCAAGTGCCCAGCTCTGGCCTGGTACACCATGGGCACTCAGGAAATGTCACTCCGCCTTCATAAGCATTGGCCTGTGCATGACATCTATGTGATAAGGTGGCCTGAAGCTGTCCTCCCCACCCAGAGGTGCAGCAGAGGCCTGGCAGGAATGTGAAAATCCAATGGATCAAGTCATAACCTTGACTGAAGAGTATGGTGAGTTCACTCATGGCAGGAACCATCTGATCATTCATACGGCTCCAGAAACATTTTACTCAAAAGAAAGTGTCTTTCCCCAACAGTCAAGATTGATAATTAGTTTATGAATTGCTTCATTTATCAGTACTATGATGTACTGTATAATCCACCAGGTTTCAAGTTACTGGAATTTTGCAGGTGATGGGAACCAGTCTTTTTATCAACTTTGCATAATCTGATCTGGGCTCAGATTGATAGAATGCTTTGGGAAGAATCAGGGGAGTGTTTTATACTAGGATCTCCTGCGGTTCTGATGCGTTAATGGGAGGAAGCTATCCCTGTCAAATTCTACAATTTTGGAGGAGCTTAAAACACCTGAAGACAAAGCCCTGAATTTTATGAGTGTCTGCCTGAAACCAGAAACAGAAACCCCTTACAGCTTACTCAACAGCGTTAATTCAGCATGGAAAGGCACCAGGAAAAGATCACTGCGTCTTACTCCCACCAAGTAAACAAGCTAACAAACACAGAGGAGAGGTGCAGGTTGGCACCCTTAGGCCGGACTCTGGGTGGACAGCCCTGTCAGAGTCTATAAAGGGTCGCTCTGAGGCTCCAGGAGTGGCAGATGGCCAGAGAGTGGCCAACTGGAGGCACACTATTGAGCCTCGGGATTGAGCCTCCCACTGTTTACCCCTCAGGAAAAAGAGAGCTTTGAGTCTCCTGGCCCTTTCCCCAGAGAGCAGGAAATGGCCAGGGCTTGAGGATAGCCAGAGGCCGTCCAAAGTTACCCATACCATCTCCACTTTGGCCTCAGAGGCCAGCTCTTTCTTCTCTCTGTGCTTTTTAAAATAAAAACTTATTTTTCTAGTGTAAAAGTATTATATGAATGTTCTATGAACTTCAAATAATACAGAAATGTAAAGAATAGAAATTTCCCATTATTTGATGCCTCCCGCTCCCCAAAATAACCTAAAGTTAACAATTTAAATATATATCCAGAATTTTTCCTCTCCATATTTATATATATCTATACATATATAATTAATAGAACATAAATATTTTACAGTAACCCTGTTCTCAAGATGCTTTTCCACTGTAGATGTTTAATAAATATTTATTGCATGAATGAGCCATAATTTATTTATTCAGTCCTCTATTAGAGGCCTTTGGTTTGTTCCCAGTCATCTAATAAACATGATTTTAGATATAAAAGACATAATTGAAATACATATAACACATACAGAAACATAACCCATAACTGCATATCATAAATATATCCTTAAATATACTAATAAAACACGCATGCAATGGAGAGGTGTTTTGGGTGCCGTCTGGTGTATATCCTGGATATCCCTGGAATATATATTGATAAATCAGCCTCAAAAAGAATGCTTTCAGACAGTGTTTTAGGATCTGTGGGAACAAAGGGTGGCCATCCTGCATTTGTTATGTTGTTTCAACATAGCATTTGTTATGTTGTTTTATTAACTTTAAGTCCTTGGCAAAGCAGCTTGACTAAGATAAGATCCAGAAACCAGTCGTGGTAACAAGGCAACAATTAATCTTAGATAGAACAGAAAAGGAATCCGCTTCAAATTCTCTTTAGAACAGGAAGGAAAGGGTGATCGTGGGTTAGCAGGAAGGAAGGAAAGAGGCAAGAAAGGAAAGTGAAAAAAGAATGGAAATGCTTTCTCCTGCTGGTGATTTGGATGTTTGGACTACTCTTGTCAGATGCTACAGCGTAATCACTGTAAATGTTTTAAAGGACGCGATATTATGACAGATTTCCCTTTCTGACTTGTTCCTGGGGCTGCACACACAATGATTTACTCCCTGCCACGGGCTGGAGGCTTGGCCACTCCTGGGTTGGTCCAAGGAAGCCTGGAATACCCAATGCCTGTGAGAGTGAGCACGTCCCCCTGTCTCTAGGTGTTGTTGCTTGTGCTGAAATGGAGTCTACCAAGCATTGCCATGGCATGGAAGGGATGGTGGCGGAGTAGATGCCACTGCAGATTGAGTGCAGTGTCCCAGGCAGCCAGGGGCAGCCGCTCAGCCCTTGCCTGGACCTGAGGACTGTTGCATCAGTCTCCAGATGAGACAGCAGCTGTCATGGTGGCTGAACCAGGGAAAAGAAACTCCACTCTGTGGTCTCCATGGGGCTAGGGAAAAAAGGAAATGGGTTTTTGTGATTTTCCCTTCTTTAGAAACAAAAGTGCTTAAATGTGATTCTTTAGCTCTGTAAATGCAAACCACGGCCTGGTGGACTGGGGAGAACAATTAGGCCAAAGGCTGAGCACAGGAAGCCAAAAGCGGGTGGAAACCCAGACAACGGTGCTGAGCCGGGGGTTGGGGTGGTTGGGGGGAGCGGATATGATAGCAAGGAAGGAGTTTCAATGTGAATGAATACTAATTAGTGACATGGATATTAATGATGACAGTAATTAACAGGGGAAAGGAAGGGCTGTCATTGTCCCAGGGTGAGTAATCAATCTTGGCAGGTGATAAATAATGGTTCAGCAAGCTCAGCAGAAAGATAATCCGCAGGCCTGGGGGAGAACTCAGCTAATGCAGGAAACCTCACAGTTTCTAGGCAACCCACAGAAAAGAACTATTTTTTTTTTCTTTTTTGAGACAGCGTCTCACTCTGTGGCCAGGCTGGAGTGTAGTGGCGCGATCTCGGCTCACTGCAACCTCCACCTCCCGTGTTCAAGCAATTCCCCTGCCTGAGCCTCCCGAGTAGCTGGGACTCAGGCATGTGGCACCACGCCTGGCTAATGTTTTGTATTTTAATAGAGACGGGGTTTCACCATGTTGGCCAGGATGGTCTCAAACTCCTGACCTCGTGATCCACCCTCCTCGGTCTCCAAAAGTGTTGGGATTATAGGCATGAGCCACTGCGCCTGGCCAGAACTATTTTTCTTTTGAGGAAAAAACAGATTAGAGTATCTCTCCCACCCCCAGCTTGGGACTACAGTTCTTATTTGATTTCTGCTTTGTTCTTCATTTCCTGGGACAAATGTTGAACTTGTATAACTTGGAGGAAAGGGACACACAGGCACATGTACACACACACATATTCATTCTCTCTCTCTCTCTCTCTCTCTCTCTCTCCAAGAATACGAATGAATACGAGTGTTTTTGATCTAAAGTTTGACTCACAGATGCTGTCCAGGAGTAGCAAGAGTGAGGAGAAGCCTAGAAGTGCTGCCTTTGAGGTTGGCGCGGGGAAACTGCAAAATTGCAAGGCTGTGTCGGCAGAACTGGGGCACACAGGAGGATGAGGATGGCCCTGGGGGTCCCACTGTGCAGGGTTACTTCACCTGCCATGGACCCAGAGAGAAACAAAATGTCTAGGCTTTCTGTCCTGTACCAGTCCCACTTCTGGCCACCAGTCACATATCTAAGAAAACTGATTTCTGGGAAGAGGGCAATCCTCATGAAGCCCCTCTGCTGGATCCCCAGGCCTTCAGCCAGGAATCCAGCCCAGGAGAGTTCTTGGCACATCCCCTCCCTCTCACCAAAGCCTCAGACCCACGGTAGGACTCTGATATCTAAAATGTCTCCCCTTGCAGGCTGTGTTCCATCAAACAATTTAGAGGTGACAAAGCCACACCTTCAATGGTCTGCACTGGTTTAAAGTGAGATCTTTGGGTGGCAAAGGTAGATTGACCAGAAATTCAGAACCTTCCAGAAAACTGAACTCCTCTACTGCCATGTACACAGTGCTGCTCTCAGAACATTGTTTGCGGGTCACATTTTCAAAGAGAGGCAGACAGAAGGGAACTTATTCAGAGGATTGGGAACATATGGTGAGGAACTCCAGGCCACACCCTGCAAGGAAGCAGCTGAGGGACCCAGGCCTGTTGCACTTGGAGGGAGGACGTCGCTGGTATGCCGCAGGACTGTCTGAATAGCTGAAGGGCTGTCGCACAGAGTGGTTAGGTTGGGGTTTGTTTTTCTATCATCAAATGGCAAAACTGAGGCCAAAGGGAGGAAGTCAGAGAGGGGCAAGTTTCTGTTCAGATAAATCAAGGCTGATTTAACTGGGTCAGGCTGGGTAGGGGGGAGTTTGTGAGTTTCCAGGTACTAGGGATTCTAAACACAGGTTACAGCACCTCTTGTCCAGGGTGTTGTGAATGGGACATGTATTGGCTGGGGTTGGAGTAGACAAGCTTTAAAAGTTCCTTCAGGGCCGGGCGCGGTGGCTCATGCCTGTAATCCCAGCACTTTGGGAGGCCGAGGCGGGCGGATCACGAGGTCAGGAGATCGAGACCATCCCGGCTAAAACGGTGAAACCCCGTCTCTACTAAAAATACAAAAAAATTAGCCGGGCGTAGTGGCAGGCGCCTGTAGTCCCAGCTACTTGGGAGGCTGAGGCAGGAGAATGGCGTGAACCCGGGAGGCAGAGCTTGCAGTGAGCCGAGATCCCGCCACTGCACTCCAGCCTGGGCGACAGAGCGAGACTCCGTCTCAAAAAAAAAAAAAAAAAAAAAAAAAGTTCCTTCAGACTCTTAAGATTTATATTCGTTAAGGTAATACTAGATACCAAAACAGCTAAGTCCCAAATTTCAGGGGCTTAACACA
Source organism: Homo sapiens (assembly GCF_000001405.40). Classification (NCBI taxonomy): domain Eukaryota; kingdom Metazoa; phylum Chordata; class Mammalia; order Primates; family Hominidae; genus Homo; species Homo sapiens. Next base: position 72,453,728 of record NC_000014.9, read on the forward strand.
ACAAAGTTCAGTCCTTTCAGTCCTCAATCAAGTCAGAGCCCCACATGGGCGTAATGTCCATGGTTGGAACCGTGGCTCCCTGCCTATTGTGGCTCTGCATTCCCCCAGGTCTTTGGAGTCCCCCACATCCAGCCAGTAGATGGGATTGAAAGGGGCAGAGCTAAGGAGAGCCATGTAGGAGTTTTTATGGTCCAGGTCTGGAAGTGGCATATGCCATTTCTACCCATATTCTATTGGCAGAACTCAGTCCATATCTAAGTGCAGGGGAGGCTGGAAATGTAATCTAGCTATGGCACAGTGAGGAGAGGAAAGAGGTCTTGGTGAATACATAGACGTTTCTGCCACAAATGCAGGGACACATTCATTCAGGATAGGCCTGTGCCGGAAGAGATGAGAGTTTTGCAAGAACCTATGAGGTCACCTGTGTTGGTCAGCCCTTGTAATTGATGGTAGGGAGCTGATGAGGCCTCCTTCTTCAAGAAATGGTCTGGGGGCCAGGCATGATAAAGCTTCACCTAGCACGTCTCAGGGAAGTCCTCTATAGACACTTCCTAGAAACATGAATATAAGCTCATCCTGCATCATCAGAAGTGAGTGTTTTTTGGACAAGAATGGAATTGTAACTATGGAAGTGTACTGAAGAATGGAAAGGGTTGGTTAGGACAAAAAAAAGTGCCCATATTATCCTGCTCTACAGTGTGGACTGTTTGGAATTAGGATTCTCTTAGGTAAACATGTTTCTTCTGCCACAGTGTTAAACACCCAGGAGGTCTTCAGCTGAAATTGCTTTATCGTTGCAGGTACTGACATTGTGCAGTGGCTTATGAAGAACCTTTCCATTGAGGACCCAGGTACTTGACCTTTGACCCCACCCTTATCTCCCCTGGTATCAGTAAACATCCCATAACCAAGTTCCAAACTAGATTCCCCTGCCCTCCTGAGAACTGGTCTTGTAAATGTGAATTCCAAGACGTGGAATCACTCTATTTACAAATAAAATTAATTTATTTTCTCCACTGAATATTTGTCTTTAAATTTAAATCATGCTTTGAGGAAATGAGCAACTTTTTAGAATGCCAAAGAGCCCAATACAATAATGTGTGAAATGAGTTGAATTCTCATTAGCTGCAGCAATTAAAGATAAGTTGTAGCACTGTCACTGAACAGCCTTCTAGAGCCAGCTCTTAAAATTAGATTGCCTGATCCACAATTAAGATGTTTAATTATTTGCTAAGACTCCCTCTGTTTTCTGCTTCTGCAAGAAGTGAAGGAATGATTTTTTTTCAACTTTAATTGCGCATTTCAATTAGGAAGACCTTACCAGGAAAACAACAACAGAACCCTGGCCAATAAAACAATTTCCCAGTCTGTTCTCCCACCAGAAAATAGGCAGTAAAATTTATTTTCACAGTGTAATTAGGAAATGGGGGGGGTGTTCCAGAAAAATAAAAATTCAAGATAAGTAAAGCTTATTCCCATGTGCTGTCAGTTAATACTTTTCCGAATTTATTACATACTCCTTTGCCTTGATTAACTGAGTATTCTTGATGCCTGAAGGTCACATTTATAAAGATCCACTAATACACTCTGATGTTCTTAATGGACATTGGCGTGATTAGACTTACCTGCCCCAAATTAAATGGCCCTGAACCACAATGCTTTTTGAAGATTTTTTTGAAGTGCCCATTCTGCATCCGTGACCTTCAGCTGTGAGTCCCTGCTGGAATCGGTGTGTCAGCTTGGCACTCCTGTATTTTAACCCAACATTTCTAATCTGTTGACTGCAAAACAATACAGTTTCTATGCAGTTCAATTATATACAGTTGTTAGAACTCTGAGTGCCAGAAAAGCAGATCATTCATAGAAGTGGCCCGAGTCTTTTCACCCCCTTGATTAGTGGCTACTCTCACAACTAGTGAAAATTCTTAATTCTAGTCAAGTTCTTGATTCACAGGGAAAAAACTATAAATGCTAACCCTTTGTAAAGGATAGAACCCAAAGCAACTCACTATGTGTTGTCCCTGATGCAGCCTGTACTTCTGAGTGTCCGCTTGGAAAGCCTGGACTGAATCAGCATCTACCTGTTTAGTTACATTTATCTAAAGTCAGTATTTCTTGTGATTATAATGCTAAACTAAGGAACGTGTTTCCTCATGGCCACCTTTTCTCTTCCAAGAGCACTGGTTTCTTTGCCTCCTAAAATAATCGTTGTATTTCTGACATATATTTTATTATTACTATTATGAGAACCCTAAATTGGCGAGCAGTATGTGAGAATGAGCTTCAGGAATCCTCCAGCCCTGGCGTGAGAAGCTTCTGTGAAGGGTCCTGAATGATGAGAGTTATTTCTATGAAAATCTGTTATACTCTGATGCCCTTGGGAAGACATCATGGTATAGGGGCCTGTTTGGGCTTCTGAGAAGTGGCTGAGGAGAAGCTAAGAACCATTTGTCAGCTGGGAATAGTCTAAGGGGGGAGATGAGGCAAACCGAGGCCTTGGGAAACAGTCAGATCCAGCATCTGCCCCTCTCTCCCTTCTTTTTCCCATCAGTCGATTTCCTGTGGTTATTTTTTGGTTTTTGAGGCAAGGTCTCACTCTGTCACCCAGGCTAGAGTGCAGTGGCACGAGCATAGCTCACTGCAGCCTTGACCTCCCTGGCCCAAGCCATCTTCCACCTCAGTCTCCCGAGTAGCTGGGACTATAGGCTCCTAGCACCACATCCAGCTAATTTTTTGTTTTATTTTTTGTAGAGATGGGGATCTCACTGTGTTATCCAGGCTGGTCTTGAACTCCTGACCTCAAACAATTCTTCTGCTTTGGCCTCCCACAGTGCTTGGATTACAGGTGTGAGACACTGCACCTGGCCCCATTGGCCAACGTCTAAGCAAAAACATTTTTGCTCAGAGAATGAAGTTAGAGTCTTAGCTCCAAGACTGGTGGCATGAAAGTCACCTTCCTACAGGATTTTGTTCTTTCTTCTCTGGGGAAGGAGCAACTGCTGATGATGAAACTTCTGTTCTAGCTGGACTCATGGTTCTTGAAGCATATGGACTTTAAAAAGCAAACCGGCCAGACATGGTAGCTCATGCCTGTAATCGCAGCTCTTTGGGAGGCTCAGCTGGGAGGACTGCTTGAGCCCAGGAGTTCAAGACCAGCCTGAGCAAGATGGCAAAACCCTACCTCTACCAAAAAAAATAAAAAAAAAATTAGACAGACGTGGTGGCATGTGCCTGTGGTTCCAGCTACTTGGGAGGCTGGGGCAGAAGTATCACTTGAGCCCAGGAGTTCAAGTCTGCAATGAGCTGTGATCATGCCACTGCACTCCAGCCTGGGTGACAAGAGTCAGACCTGTCTCTAAAAAAAAAAAAAAAAAAAAAAAAATAGCAAATTGGTCATCACTAAGCAAGTAAAATAAAACTCTATTCATTCCAATTCCACCAGTTACATGTATGTTTCTTTCAAAGGAGAATAGGTGGTTCTTGATACGCAAAACATTGCATTGTATTCAACTTCTTGAAAAGTTTGCAAGTAAAGCCAAAACAAACTACTTTAAAAAGTCAGAGCTCGTGAAATTAATAATTGCTAGAGGCTCCCTGAGCACATTAACAATTTCCATGTCCAAAAATTAGTTTTAACCTGTAACAGTACTTTTGGATTTGTGAAAGATTGTGTGTGGTAGAAGCATTGAGGTTTGTTATTTTTTCTTAGCTCTGCTCAGGATAAATCTAAATTCTTAACTTTTTTTTTTTTAATTGAGACAGGGTCTCGCTGTGTTGCTCAGGCTTGTCTCAAACTCCTGAGCTCAAGCAATCCGCCTGCCTCTGGATTACAGGCGTGAGCCACCATGCCCGACCTATATTCTCAACTTTCTATGTGCATCTATTTATGGCTGGTGCCAAAGGAACGAAGGAACAGATTGACTGTGGCAAAAATATAAGTATTTCTATCAGGTTAGCCTCTCTCTGTCACTGCCCACTTCAGTGTCCTTCCTCTAATTTTCAAAGGAAGTGAGGTTTTCCTCTCTGTCCATAAGAGAAGGGTGACACCCTTCTCATTCCTGATGGGACTGTCATATTGGGGAACGCACTGGGAGTCCTACGTCTCTATGGGCAGCGAGGCTGCATTCTTACTGCTGGGGATGATGAAACTGGTATGAATCAGAGCTGCTAGCACTTACGGAGTATTTGACCTGTACCAGACAATCACTTCATGTGAAATATCTCACTTAGTTAAATACAGGTTCTTCTATGCCAGAACTTATGCCCTTGACCCTGAAGCCAGACTTTCTTCTGAAGGTCAGGGTGAGGAGGGGTTAAGCCATGTCAGACTCTCAGAGGTGGGATTCAGACAAGTCCCAGACACATAGTTGCCCTTTCCAGCCATTGGCATCTCCCCTCCTCACCCCCACACTGAGCAAGGGCAATTGTATCATCAACACAGACATCTGGGGGTGATGACAGTTGACTTCTGGTCTCCCAGCTTAATTTTCAGCCAAATAACCTGCTTTCTAATTCCTTCTCTCTCTATGCACTGTTCTTACAGTTGAAGCAATACACTTGGGGAGCCTTATCGCTGCCCAGGGCTACATCTTTCCAATCTCAGACCATGTTCTCACCATGAAGGATGATGGCACCTTTTATCGTTTCCAGGTAAGCCTGCTGGCTCCTCCTCCTGAAGAACCTTTTCTTCACAACATCATCTGATCTTAGGTTAGAACTACAAAGAAAACCTAGGGATATCTGAGGGAGTAGCCCTCACTCCTCATCAGCACTGGGAAAGCCAAGAGAACTTTTCTCTGGGCCACTGGGTGACCCACTTAGAGAATAGTAAAAGGCTGTCATTGAGAGCCTACCATGCCCTGGGCACTGCCTTAGTCCCTTGGGCTGCTACAACAAAATACCTAAACTGGGTATCTTATAAACAAACAAACAAAAAATTTACTTCTCATGGTTGTGGAGGCTGGCAAGTCCAAGACCAAGGTGCCAGCAGATTCGGTGTCTGGTGAGGGCCTGCTCTCTGGCTCATAGATGGCACCTTCTAGCTATATCCCCACATGGCAGACAGGACCTGGGGCTTATATCAGACCTCTTTTATAAAGGCACTAATCTCACCTGTGAGGGCTTCAAAGGCCCCACCTCCCAATACCATCACCTTGGGGATTAGGATTTCAACATGTGAATTTGAGGAGGATGCAGACATTCAGACCATGGTAGACACTTTGTACAGATTTCCTCATTTATTCTGAAGAGCACACTTTAGGGGGTAAATATTACCCATTTTACAGAGGAGAAAACTGAATTGCTCAAAGAATTAAAGTGTCATTTAGTAAATCCTGGAGCAGCCTTCATCTGAACCTAAGTGAGCCTGATAGCACAGACCTTGATCTTTCTACTGTCTCATGTTGCCTTCTCGGAGTGAAGTTTCTATTTGCGACCTAATCACCCTCCCCACCCATTTCACACTCCTTCTCCCAGATCCTTCCGTAGAGGGAATGAGGGCAGAGGATATGGGCTTGAATCAAGGTCTAACCAAAGGGTGTGGGAGAAGAGTTCTTCAGACTAGGTTAAAGGGAGGAAAGGAACATGGGCTTAGGTGCCCAGTAAGTTATGCCAGCCTGACTTTTGTACTTAGACCTCTATTGTCTCAGGATAAGAATATATTGCCCTGTGAACAAAACTTAACATTTTTGCATTTGTTTTGCTTACTTACATTTTGCTTCTCAATGCCTAGGTTAAAATGTTGACTCACCTTAGCTGAATTAGAGAAGAGGAGAGAATTGTGGGGTAGCATCAGCAAGAAGGAGATGGGGGAGAGCCTGCCATCAGGGAGGCTCCTCCCTGGGTGTGGGAGGGAAGCGCAGGCATGGCGCGCCCCTGAGCACTAACACCCATGCTCCTTTGCAGGCTCCGTACTTCTGGCCTTCGAACTGCTGGGAACCTGAAAACACTGACTATGGTGAGAACTGAAGCCACTGGGAACTCTCAACTTCAACACTGTGTGTCACTTCTGGGGGTGCAGAAGACAAATGCTTGGTGTGGGCCATGGTGGTACATGGGGAGGAGGGTCCTTTCTGCTTAGTCCTTTCTCATATTGTTGCTATATAACAAATCTCCTGTTCCACATAACAGAGGAAGGCCCAGCTTACTGAAAGATGTAGTCCTTGGAGGGGAAGCAGGAGAGGGAAGAAAAATCTTATCAAGGGTGGTCAGTATGTTCATCTTGGGGCCATGGAGAACCAGGATCCCACAGCAACACTATCAGATGGTGACTTTTAATTGTTCTTTCCAGGGATAGGGCTTCAGGGAGGGCTGGATCAAGGGGCTACCTCCTCCTGGCCCTTTCTGTTCTCATAGACTTGTCAAAACTTACTAAGAACCTTTTGGTGTTCTTGACAGTTGCAATTTAGAAAAGAGACAGAGACCAGGGAGGAGTATACAGAAGTCACTCTGGACTAGGAAAATAGAGTGGGTGAAGTTGAGAGTTCTGTCTCTCTAGACAGGGACCTACAAGACTTCTGCCAGATATTCTCAGTGGAGATTATTTAATATTCCTATATGCCAATTCTCTGAAGAAGTTTTATTATCGCTATGCTTAAGAGAAAGAACCTGAGGCCCAGAGGGGCCACACCCTCACACTACCACATTGTCTGAATGCTCCCTTGATTATAAGCCTCTTGAGGGCAGAGGCTGGTCCAGCTTATGCATTCTCATATCTCCAGGGCATAGCCTATGTCTGAGGCAGAATTAGTGCTCAGTAAATATCCACTGACAGTTCTGGTTCTTTATTGAAGGTGACCAACAGACACTCACTAGAGGGAGCAGAACTTGAACTCAGATCTGAGTGGCTCCAAAACCCATACTTCTTTCACGGTCCCATGTGTGACATGCCTGAAGGTTGTAGCTGCAGCACTGCCCCTTTGCATGCATCCTTGCTGCTGACTCAGCTGCTGTGGCAGTCTCATCTGTGGCTCTCCTTGGGACTGGGACACTCAATGAGACCTGCAGCTTCTTTGCAGAATTGTTTAAGACAAGAAGGCAGATGCAGCTGTGGTGAGTGGGAGGGAGATGTGCAGCTGGGTGGTGATCAGGGGAGCCTGTCTGGGAGACCCATGGGATAAGATACAACCTTGGAGTCACACGTTTGAGCAAGAGGAAACCAACAACAGGGAGCCAAGCTGAGGATGGAATACAAGCGAGTTGTACCTACTAAGGCTGGAGTTGTTCCATGGTCAAGTGTGGAGGACGTCAGTCATGCAGAAGGGCAGGCTCTGGGGCTGTCTGCTTGGCTATCCACAGGCACCACTGTGGGCCCTCTGACACTGTGCTGCACCCTAACCAATGTGATAAGTGGATCCAGGAAGACTTCCGACTGCAAGTGAGAGCTGCATTTGACCGCTCATAAAACTAGTGCTTCTGGGGCTGAAAAGACTGCTCATGAAAGCCCAACTCAGAATTTGAATAATTATAGCTCAGTTCCATGCAGCAACGTGTGCCCTTGTGAATGTGAAAACCAGTATTTTTCCAGGCAGTGGAGAGGGTGGGAGGATGGTAAGACCAGATACCTGGGCCCAAGTAAGATTAAAATATTTACTTCCGTAAAGCTTAGGGCATCTTATGCTGCATACTAAAGGGCATCATCTCCCTGTTCTACAGGTGTTCTTCATTTTATAATTTTAATTGTGCATCATGAACAGGGAGAGAAATAATAGTTTGTTTCAGGCTCTCATTAAACAAAAATTATTTTAAATTCCTGTGCCTCAATTTATGGCAAATCAGAGGGAGAAATCAAGGTTCAGGATGCACAAGTGTTCACCAGGGACCAGGCATGGTGGTGCATACCTGTAATCCCAGTGACTCGGGAGGCTGAGATGGGAGGATCACTTGAGCCCAGGAGTTCAAAGCTGCAGTGAGCTATGATTGTGCCACTGCCCTCCAGCCTGGGTGATAGAGGAAGACCCTGTCTCTAAAACAAAGAAAAACCAGTACTCCCCAGGGTTTCCAAAGCAGTTTAGTTAGAAAATCAGGATGTATTTATGAAGAGAGAATCCAGCACAATGAGCCCCCAGGATCAACCCGTTCCACTAGCTGGGTGATCTTGGCAAATTACTTAACCTCTCTGTGCCTCAGAGACCTCATATTAAAATTAGAGTAGTAATGGCACTTGTCTCCTAGTGTTTTGTTAGGATTAAATGAAATGCATGTAAGGTTCTCTGAGTTAATACGGAGTGGTGGTTGGTATCACTACTGGGGTGGGGTCGGTATTATTGCCACTGGGATGTTGGTTGATATTATTATGACTGAGGTGACCGTCTCACCAGGAAGCATGTGAAACTGAAGCTAAGAATTCAATATAGTATGATTTGGACTGATGAAGTACCAGAAACTTTCATTCAATTGACAAACGTTTACTGGTCCCTACTCTGTCAAATTCTATGTCAGAGATTTGAATAAGTCACAGCCTTTCCCCGCAAGCATTCCAGGCTGGGAGAGGCAGCATGATGCAGGGAAGAAAGGCATGGTGAGGATCTGGCTTGAGTATTCAAAGGTTTTATGTGATGAATGACTGAGAAGGCTGAATAGCTTGGGAGGGGCAGGTTTATAAAAAGGCCTTGGCAGTCAAGTAGAGACATTTAGAATGGATTCAGCAGTTTGGGGAAGCTATTGTGGGTCCCCAACAATGAACACACTTTCCCAAGTTTTTTCCCTACTTGGGAAAAAATTGGTTCATCTATAAGATGGGGGTAATAACAGAACCCACCTAGTAGGGTTATTATGAGGATTAAGTGGACTGTGGAAGATTAAGTAAGGGCTGTGACTTAGTCAAATAGTTCCTGATATTCAGTGGGCTCAATGGAAGCAGTAGCTGCTACGATGGTGATTTTTCCAGCACCTAAAACGGTACTTGGCCCATAGGAGACACTCAGTACATTTTTGAATGAGTGACTGAATGAATAAATGGATCGGTGAATGTCATAGAGGAAACTCTGCACTGGTCCTCGATTCTAATTCCATCTCCATCACTAACTAGCCCTTGGGTCCATCACTTCATTTCTCTGGGCCTTTAGTTTCCCCATCTGTAAATGAGGGGCCTGTACTTGATGGTTGCCAAGGTTACCTCCAGTCTAAAATTCTTTGGTTCTAAAAAGTCATCAGAAAGTATGAGGAAAATAGAGAAATAAGTGAGTTATAGGTTCCCTAGTTTAGGAGATTGAGGTACATAATGATGTTGCTAGTAAAGGCAGAAAGTAAAGAAAGGGGTCAGTTTCTTCAGTACATTGAAACTCGATAAGCTCAATATTTTTTAAGAAATTTAATTGCACATATAATACATGAATGTGTTCCCTTTATACAATTTTTAAATATGTCCCAGTTTTGTGTGGTGACACATGGTGAACTTGAGATGGCAGTGGATTTCTCTGAGTGAGATGTGAGATATAGGTAAGGGTGGAATGCCAGATGTAAGGACAAGGAAATAGAAATTTTTCGGTAAGAAATTAAATATCCAAGAGAAACCAATATCTGAGCTTAAGACAGTTCTTCCAGATGCCCTCTTGTAGGGCTGGCTATTGTCACCAGTAGTCACTAGAGTCGGTTGGAAGTTAGAGCAAGCCCTAGTGAGGGCACTCTGGGATGCAGACAAGCCCCAGGGAGTTCTGTGCCAAGAACAGCCACATCCCACCTTCCTCATTGTGGTGAAAAGATTCCTTGTGTGACTTTAGGCACAGGGACATTAGCTAGTAGCATGTGACCCTGTGACTCATGGCCATCAGGAGTGGCCCCAGCTCTGCATTCCATGCATGATAACTCACTTCACAACCCCGCTGTCCCATTTTGACCCCGCTTACCCATTTGGACATTTCTTGGGATGACTCTGCCTGCATAAAACCCACAGTCAAATCCAGGTTAGCCTTTTCTGAGTTTTACATTTGGCCAGTGCAAAATCCTGTCCAGGGCAGCATTGTCAAAGCAGCTGCCACCTCCACTGACCTGCACTGCTCAAAGGTAATCATGACCTGGCCCAGTCGAGCTGGTGACATGTCAAGCTTCCTGCCTGAGGTTGTCCCTAATTCTGCCAGGGGTCCAAGAGACTGAAGGAGGTACTTTGTGATAGATCGGACACCCCTTTATCAGACACAGTGAAGCACTATAGCTGCTTGGTTCATTGGAAAAGTTGGTAAGTAGAAAATCATTTTTAAAACGACATATGCACACCTTAAGCACCTCATGTAAAGGTAAGATATACAAAGGAACACTCATTTGACAGCCTTGTGAAGTAGGACCAAAGTGTTCTCTTTGATTATGAGCTGAATAATTTTAGTTTCTTAAATCAACCGCACTCAAAATAAACTACCCTGTTTTGGTATCTTTAAAGTGCATCAAGAATGTAAAGACATTTTTGTAGTCTTTTGTATATTGGCCCCTCCTAGATTTTTATTATTTTTCTTACTTTTTCCTGTTATCTCACCTGTATCAAATTCACCAGCAATTGCCTTAGCTAACTCTCCTTCATTAAATTGTTCCAAACCATTCAACTGAGTTTTCATAGAAGCAACACTCTCTCTCTTTTCACATTAATTTCATTGAGACGTGTGATATTTAGTGAACTTGTGTGATTAAAATAACAGATGTGCCTGATATAAGCAGATTTGGGAACAACCACAACTGACTCCTATGAGCACACAATTCGCCGGGTGGAAGCAGAAGTGTGGGCATACCAGAGGGTAGGCTGCTAGCTTCCAGGCTCCAAAATGTCATAGGTATCAGTAAATTTTTCAGAACAAATGAAGGAAGTTGGTTGATCCAGCAAAGAGTTGACTAGAGATCTCTTAGTAAAGAGATCTTGTTGTCCAACAACAAAATGATCACAGGTTCTCTCTGGCCCTCCCTCTTGATCATTCTGTTGTTCATTTATTTATGCCATTCATCTACTGTTTTCCCTGGATTGTTCCACTTGGCTCTGGAGAAGGAGGAAGACATTGAAGAAGGAAAGGTAGGGAGAAGAAGTGATGATGAAGGCCATGTTTGAGGAAGAAACAGGGAAACCAGGGGCCAAGAACCTTTCCTTAGCCTGAGTTGAGAGACCTAAATTGTCTTCCCTTTCCATAGCCTTTTTACTGCACCTGACAAGACAGGCTATGGTGCTAGCAACAGGGATGAAAGCTGAGCAGGACATAGCCTCTGCCCTTAAAGAGACTTCAGCCTAGAGCAGGGGACAGTCTAGTAAATACAGGATTTCAGTGCAATGGAATTTAGTTCCATGGTCAAGGACATGTAGATGCTATCTGAAACACCAACTTGGGTCTTCAAAGATTAGTAAGAGGTTGCCAGATAGAGGGAAGGAGAGAAGAGAGAAAGACTTTCCTCAAAAAGGACACATATGCAAAAGAATGAAGCTGAAAAGAGTTTGGTGGCCTCACAGTGCCTGCATGAGGGAGAAGAAGTTGATGAGATAAGCAGTGAGCAGATCATAAAGAACCATATTTGCCATCCTAACGAGCCCAACCTTACTTCTGAGGCCATTGAGGACTCCAGGCAGAGCTTTTAGGCACTGGAGTAATGTGGTCATGTTTGTGAAATATCACTCTGAGTGTAGGATGTTCAGGGTGAAGCAGAGTGAGGAGGAAGAAGGGGAGTTGTCAGGATTGGAATATGGAGGAGTCCTCATTTGATCATGACTATGAAAGGATTTATAGAGGTCAGGGGTCATGAGGTCCACTTAGAAAACATATTTTTCCCAGGACAGTGCTCATGAGGTCCACTTAGAAAACATATTTTTCCCAGGACAGTGCTGGGCACATAGCAAGGGTGGGTGGGCGGGCTGTCTGGATGGATGGATGGATGGATGGATGGATGGATGGATGGATGGATGGATGGTTGGGTGGATGGGTGGATGGGTGGATGGATGGATGGATGGATGGATGGATGGATGGATGGGTGAATGGGTGAATGGATGGACAGATGGATGGATGGGCTTATAATTCCATTGTGCTGCTGGTTTTGTACATGTTGTCATTTCCTTTCTTCCCTCAGCCATCTATCTCTGTAAGAGGACAATGCAAAATAAAGCAAGGCTGGAACTGGCAGATTATGAAGCAGTAAGTATGATTATTTTCCAGGATACATATAAGAAGAGAGTAAAATCATATCTGCAGCTCCGTCTAAGTTTATTTTTTTTTTCTTTTGTCCCCCTTTTGTCCCTTTCAGACAGTGGAAGGGAAGTATCTTCTATTTCTCCTCCCTTGTTCTCAGCTCCTCTGACCATCACAATAAGATGGTGTTTTTACATAAATAACTCTTAAAACTCAACAATAAAAAAATAAGCAGCTCAACTTAAAAATAGGCTAATGACTTAACAGATATTTTACCAAAGAGGACACAAGGATGATAAATAAACCCATGAAAAGATGTCCAATATTATTAGCCATTTAGGAAATGCAGATTAAATCCGTGGTGAGATACTGTTACATACCTATTAGAATGGCCAAAATAAAAAATACTGATGATACCAAGTGATGGTGAGGAAGTAGAACAACTGGAACTCTCCGCTTTGCTAGTGGTAATGCAAAATGGTACAGCCACTCTAGAAAATAGCTTGGCAGTTTCTTATAAAGTTAAACATACACTTACCATATAACCAAGCAATCCCACTTGTATATACATACCCTAGAGAAATCAGAACTCATGTTCACACAAACACCTATAAACTAATGTTCATACAAGCTTAATCTGTGATAACCAAAAGCTGAAAACAACCCAAATGCACTTTAACAGTTGAATGGTTAAACTAACTGTGGTACATCCATACAATAGAATACTACTATGCAGTAAAAAGGAATGAACTGTTGATACACACAACCACTTGAATGAGTACCAAGAACATTATGTTGGGTGAAAGAAACCAATCTCAGGCCAGCCATTCCATTTATAGGACATTCTTGAAAAGATAAAACTATCATGATGAAAAGCAGATCAATGATTGCTAGTGGTTATGGATGGGGTAGGGAATTGTTGGAAGGTGATGGAACTGTTCTGTATCCTGATCGTGGTGGTGGTTGTATGAATCTATACATGTGTTAAAATTTACAGACTTGTACAAAAGGAAAAAAGTCAAATTTACTACATAATAACATTTCAAATTAAAATTTTAAATTGCACCTTTATACCCACTCTCCTGTGCTTAGTAGCAGAGGCAGAATCTAAGGGTAAAATTCAATTCAGAAAATAAGACAAGATGTGTGTCACATGAGGTATCTACTTCCCAGCTTTCTTACCTTCCTTCTCTATCTTTCTTCATAAGATGAGACTTCTTGCAAAAATTAGAGGCCCCACCACCAAACTTGGGTCCATTCCCATTTGACAGAGCCCAGAAACCAAAGCACTTGAAAACTCATAGATCATTTAATTTTTTTTTTAACTTTTGGTTGCAAAATTTTTCCCCCAAACTGAACTTTACATGGGTCACAGAGAATGGGAGAAACTGGCTAAACTTTCTTATACCTTCTACTTCCCTCTCCCTATATGTCTTCCAAAGGATGTGCTGCTGAGCCATGAATGACTGAAGGGCCAGCAGCTATGGAAGGAGGGGCAACATTAAGGGGAGCAGAGAATCCTTCCCTGGATAGTCCAGCATTAACAGCATCTTCAGACCCACCCACCGCCAAAGCCCTTCCTGCTTTTACTGCCTCAGTCTTTCAAAACAAGTGTGAGGCCCCACTCTGCCAGGCCTTACCTCTCCTAGGTTCATGTTCCCAAGCCTACCAAGCCTACCAAGCCTACCAAGCCAGCTGGGCCATCGCTCCCCTCTCTACAGCCCAAGTGTGAATGCGCATGCCATTGGGGAGCAGGACGTGTGCATGGTCCTTCACCTCTTTGATCCCACTGGCATTGTGGACCTGTGAATGGGGTGCAGGGGGCCAGAAGAGGAAGAAGCAGTGCAGCAGTTTGTCCAGAGCCCTCAGGACCTGGCTAGAGTTTGCATTATCAGATGATCATATGTTGGAATATTATGATCTCCCCAGATAAACCTTGGCCTGGTTGTTCTGTGGCTCTGGACATCCTGGGAGCCCAGTCATGCCCCTGTCTGCCCCAATGCCCAGCAATCACAGCACCCCTCCTTCAAAAGACTGCTGTTGTACTCTTTGTGCGCCCAGTGCAAGTAGCTTTGACATGATGACATTACCTCCTTAACACAACCTTGAGGAAAGGCCCAGACAGTAGAAGCCTGGGGCCCCTCCCTCCTGTGTGTCTCTTCCCCATATTTTCAATGTTTTGGAAAAAGGTCCCATACAGAAATCAGACAGCATCAACTCCTGCTGTATTTGATTCAATTTCTCTTCTCTTGTCCCTTAATGTTCTGCTCTGGTATTTGTAAAGAATATGGCATTGAGGCCAGGTATGGTGGCTCATGCCTGTAATCCCCAAGGTGGGCAGATCACGAGGTCAGGAGATCGAGACCATCCTGGCTAACATGCTGAAACCCGTCTCTACTAAAAATACAAAAAATTAGCCAGGCCTAGTGGCACACGCCTGTAGATCCAGCTACTCAGGAGGCTGAGGCAGGAGAATCCCTTGAACCTGGGAGGCGGAGGTTGTGAGCCAAGATCGTGCCACTGCACTCCAGCCTGGGCAACAGAGCGAGACTCCGTCTCAAAAAAAAAAAAAAGAATATGGCATTGAGATGTGCTCTCAGGTTGAAGTTCTGCACAAAAATGATTCAAAACCAAAAAAGCATTTTGCTTCCAAAATGCAATAATTTTTTTATGAATTTTCTGATTACATATTCTTTTTACAAAAACAAAAATTCAAACAGCAAAGAAAGGAGAGAATATAACCTGTGACTCCCCCTCACCTAAGTTTTTTCTATGCATACATTTTTTTCTTTACAAAACTATATCAGAATCATAACATAAACATTCTTGTGGCAGCTGCTTCTCTTTCCCCAGTCATTATACTGTAGGTATCTCGGGGTCTTTACCATGTCAGTAACTATAATCTACGTTATTGTGTTTAATGGCTGCCTAGAATTCTATGCTATGACTGTGTCACAGTTGATTGACATTTAGGCATTACCAGTTTTGCTTCCTATGAGCAGTGGAAGAGTCACAAAGACAGTTTTTAGAAGTACTTTCACACCAAGCCTGGGTGATAACTGTGAGCTCATGTGTGGTACTCTCCAACTGAAGCTCCTTTTATATTAATAATCCATTAATGAGGGTAATCAATTCGTGTTGGCATGAGCTCTATGAAAATACATAGCATAATATGGGCTCCGGCCTTGCATTCATCAGAATTAGGAGGATCATTAGGGCGCCTGTCAAACTCCCCTCCTCGCCGCCCATCCTCATGTTCCATTAGGTAACTCTACAGACTTAGAGAAAATACTTTTCTTTTTCTCTAACGGCAGCCCTCAATGACTTTTCTTTCTGTTTTGGGCTTTTTCTTTCATGAACATCACAAACGTAGACACTCCGTTTGGGGCACTTTTTTTTTTTTTTTTGAAACAGTTTCATTCTTGTTGCCCAGGCTGCAGTGCAGTGGCAGGATCTCGGCTCACTGCAACCTCCCCACCTCCCGGGTTCAAGCGACTCTCCTCCCTCAGTCTCCCAAATAGTTGGGATTACAGGCACCTGCCACCATGCCCAGCTAATTTCTGTAATTTTAGTAGAGATGGGGTTTCACCCTGTTGACCAGGCTGGTCTGGAACTCCTGACCTCAGGTGATCCACCTGCCTTGGCCTTCCAAAATGCTGCGATTACAGGTGTGAGTCACCACACTCAGCCTCGGCCACTTTGAATCCTGACATTAGAAAAAGCATGAAAGCCAGGTCCCTTTGGTTTTCCTTTCCTGTGTCCTTCCCAGCTCCCCACTGGAAGAGGAGTCCTGAGAAATCCAGCCTTTGGTTTTGCTCCTGGAGATACCAGCAGGTGGCAAAGACTCGTTAATTCCCCAATAACCACAGACAATTTTCCCGATTTTCAGCAACCTTTGAAACAAGTGCTGTGTGAGTTGCATTCTTGTAAAACACCTTCATGAAGAGAGGAATCAGGTGAACCATAGAGACTTCAGACTTAATGGGTGTGTAAATGAATATTAATAGTTCAGCTCTGTACGGAGGGTCTGGCGCAAAGTCAAATGGGATACATGTCCAGGGGATTTAAAGCAGGTCTTGCTATTTTGTTGGAAGTAACCAAAATTGATGGATGCCTTATAATAAGCATAGGTGTCGATGTGCTAATTTACGATGATTAATGCCGCCTTGTTGATTTTCATTTCTCATTAGGAAAACTTAGCAAGACTCCAGAGGGCCTTTGCGAGGAAGTGGGAATTCATCTTTATGCAAGCAGAAGCACAAGTAAAGTAGGTGAACTTGATAGAGACCTTTTCAGAGAGGAAAAGACTCTGGAATTTGGAAATGGTGTGAAGGTGGGATTGTCAAAGTGAAGTTTCCAGATGGCGTTAGTATTTCTAATAGGGCCTGAGAGCAACTGAGTAGAAATTAAAGTCAGGATGGATAAGTTTTGTCTTCATAATCAATGCTTCTCTAAAGCAATTTCAGAAATGTGTGTTTCAGCAGACAAGGGAGATCCTCCCAAAGGTAGAACTCTGGTTATAAGAAGGTGTACCTATTTCCCCAAGAGATTTCCAGTTATTTTCTGTGTTCAAAGGCTGAAATCCCATTTTACCCGTTGGACTGGAGATTTTGTCTTCATGGGAAAACAGGTTGGAGTTTTAGGAAGAACAACAAGTAGCCCCTGTCTTCTTTTCCCTGACAGGGGAGGAGTTTAGAACCAACAGAAAAAGAAGGCACAGAAGTCAGACAGTTGGAGTCCAAAATATCAGATTATTACATTAATTAAAAGCAAGAGTAAGGCTGGGCATGGTGGCTCATGCCTGTAATCCCAGCACTTTGTGAGACCGAGGTGGGGGTGGATCACCTGAGGTCAGGAGTTCGAGACCAACCTGACTAACATGGTGAAACCCCGTCTCTACTAAAAATACAAAATTAGCTGGGCATAGTGGTACATGCCTGTAATCCCAGCTACTCAGGAGGCTGAGGCAGGAGAATTGCTTGAACCCGGGAAGTGGAGGTTGCAGTGAGCTGAGATCGTGACATTGCACTCCAGCCTGGGCAACAAGAGCAAAACTCCCTCTCAAAAAAAAAAAAAAAAAACAAGATTATAGGGCGTGACACTGGATATGTGGCCCCAGGTGAAAATTAAATCTGCCCTTCCTGTACAGAGGTGTGTATCTATAGGCCTCCTCTCCCCAGCATCTCCACCCCACCCCACCAGGGCATAGGTGACCCCTGTAAGTTTTCTGCATGCAGAGAGCAGCTATCCTGAGCACAGGCTGACCCAGATGGGGGCCCAGAGAGGGAGAGTCTGAACTTCTTCAATTTCTTCTTTCAAGTCTACCAATTAGTTAAGTCATTTTTCCTCCACAAAGGACAAGAGATGAAAGGAAGAAAAAAGTTGGAAGGGTTTTTCCCAGATTTTTTTCTCCTGGATACATAGTGGACATTTCTTCCTCTCTAAGGAAACATGAGGAATGGGTACTCTATGTTCCCCACCCCACAAACATCGTTGTCAACCAGATCCATTTAATTCTGGGAAACAGAATGATTGGATCTGGATCTCCCCTGTCCCTCCCAGGGATGATGTCTAGGTTAGCCAGGATGGTTAGTTAACAGGAGAAGTGGGACAGGAGCAGGAAAGGGATGCTAAGCTGGGAGAATGGGACTATGTTTCCTCTGGGTACCACCTGCATGTGAGCAGCCGCTGAGTCTTCAGAGCAACATTCCTGGGCGATGTTGCAGCCCGTGGCCTGGAGCCGGGTCTCAGGCTGTGTGGGTGTAGACTCATCACAGCTATGGTCACAGTTGGAAGTGACCTGAGGCCATCTGGTCCAGTGGCCTGTACACTGCCATTGCTGTGAACCTCCCCCCACAGTCTCTGCCTTTCTCCTGTCCATGATGCCAGCCACCTCCTGACCACCCAGCAGCCCCCCGGGGATAGGCGGGTACCAGGCACTGGGTGCCCCCGAAGAGGTGCAGGTGGGAGAGTAGGTAGGATGGAGGCTGGGATTCAACTGGACTAAGGCAGAATTATGCCTGTGTACTCAGAAGCCACTGGAAAGCAAAGAGGAACGCTAATTTGTTCTTCCAGAATCAAACAGCATCACAAGTTATAAACAGAGGGGAAATTGTTACTTCATAAATACATGGTATTTCTCGATTAACTTTTTTGATTAACTCTGTGATTACATTATAATTGTGGGCCACCTAAGTACACAGTAATTATCACAAAAATCGCAGGGTGATTATGGGTTTATTTCAGTCCAGTAAAGTAAAGCGTTCCCGAGAGAGCCGAGACCTAGGAGTTACACGGCAATTAATCTGAGTTGCTTTTTACTTGAAATAAAATGAAGTAATACATGCTTTTTTAAGAAAAAAAAAAAAAGAAAGAAAAAGAAAAAACCTCTTATCTATGCTGCAGATCAGAACAATAAGAATCTGTCTTTGTCACCTGCAATTTCCCTCTTGCAATTTGTGCCTCCCCCAGCTGAGGCCAGTGATATTTGCCTCCTGGATCTTGTCTCATTCTAGGGCCATTATTCTGCCTTTAGAAAGCCAGATGGTGTAAGTGACTTATAAAACACATAATTGCAGCATTTTAAAGACATTTATTTCTACTGATTCTAAATCTAAAGCAAACTTTCAAATTTGAACATGGAACACTGGCAAGATGGTGGTTACATTCCATCTTATAATTTGTATATGCAGTATCCTTTTTGATAAGGGGGCATATCAATGGATAATTCAGTTTTTAATAATCCAAATCTTAATACTTCAGATGAACAGCTGCATTCTTATTCTTCCCTTAGGCCACCATGTTCATTACACATGTATGGCAATCTGTAATCTAGCCTAAAACAAGTTCTCTTACCATGTGTGGAATTCCTGAGGTTTTCGGGGGGGGAATTATACACCCCTATTTCACAGCTCTGCAGAGAGCAGGCACCATGCAGGTACCAATGGCCTTGTGTTCACTTAGCCCCTAGCAACAGGAGCAAACGCTGGAGCAAGTGTCAGAAGGGAAAACAGAATACAGAGCTTCTTATTTCCTTCCTCTCTTTACTCTTTCAGGATTGACCGGAAAAAAGACAAGACAGAAAGGAAAATTTTGGATAGTCAAGAACGAGCCTTTTGGGATGTCCACAGGCCTGTGGTGAGAAAGCGCTACTCAATTCTCTAGATTTTTTTTTCTTAATTGTTCATTTTTATCTCTATAAAGAAAAGACCGTCTTTAGCCACCAGGTGTCTCATTCTTAAGAAAATCGCTCAGCTTTGTGGAACTGGTTTCGCCATTCATTTATATAATCTCAGTAAATTTTCTGGAATATATGTAAGTTCCACCTTTTAAAAATTATTCATTCGGCCGGGCATGGCGGCTCACGCCTGTAATCCCAGCGCTTTGGGAGGCCGAGGTGGGTGGATCACGAGGTCAGTCGATCAAGACCATCCTGGCTAACACGGTGAAACCCCGTCGCTACTAAAAATACAAAAAAATTAGCCGGGCGTGGTGGCAGGCACCTGTAGTCCCAGCGACTCGGGAGGCTGAGGCAGGAGAATGGTGTGAACCCGGGAGGCGGAGCTTGCAGTGAGCCGAGAGCGCACCACTGCACTCCAGCCTCGGCAACAGAGCGAGACTCCATCTCTGGGGAAAAAAAAAATTATTCATTCCTGAAAATATGGAATTGCAAATGGAGAAGCTATGGGAATTCCACCAAAAGACCTTTGTGTCCCGAAGGTTTACATTCCCCAAATTAACAATTTCCATTTCCACTGCTATTCAACTCTGAATCTTCAACTATTCTCTGTCGAATACGGTTAATTCTTGTTATCCATGGCAGTTATGTTCTATAAAGTCTTTGCAAACACTGAATTAGCGCACATTGAAGCATCACTCCCGTGGGAACTACCAAGCTAGGTCCCCGTGAGCCTGTGGCCACAACATTTTTATCAGCTGATCGATACATAACCTTTTAAATGTGTTTCTGTATAAAGACAGCTTATGTAATATATATCATTGATTCATTAACATTAAACTCATGGCCAACAGCACTGTTGCTCATGCCTGCATGTTTATTTCCTCCTAAGGCACATCAGAGAATGGTGAACAGCACTTCAGCACTGTCCTTGGGGCCATTTTAAACAGCAAAATCACCAACAAAAAGTACAGAAATGCAGAAAAGTTGGCACTAAATTAGCCCTAAATAGAAGGGTCTGAAACAAAAAGGCAGGACGTCACCTTGTTCAATTTCAGTGGGAAACACACATATCAGGCTACTCAAGGTACAACTACTGAGTAAGGAGTTATAAATGAAATTTAGCAAGCAGGCAAATTCACAAATGCAAAATTTGTAAATAATGAGGTTTGACTGTATTTCTGATTTCACGTTATTAAAACAAATCTTGCATTTTCCTCATGAAATGGAACTAAAAAATAAATTATTGGTCTTCTTAAAATTTGATTAAAAGCAAAAAATAAATAAATAGCTACTCATCCTGATATCGTGGAGTCTTTTTCAAACGGTTAAGTATGTAAAAAAAAATTTTAAGGACTGTGTCTGAGGCAATCTTGCCACTTAAATAGCTAATTTGCTCTTAGAAACTGTACACTATACCCTCTACATATCATCCTTAGATTATGAGGTAAGCTTTTCTAGATCGTATGGGAACTCCACAGAGGAATGCATATTATGGCAAAATGGAAAAAAAAATCATGCATTGTCTGTAATGGAAAAAGATAAAGATTGGTCCTGATGGTGTGACATGGGCTAAATTGGAAGTGTAATTTTCACGTAGTAATTTATATGATGTGTTTTTTTTTTCTCAGCCAGGCTGTGTGAACACAACAGAAATGGATATCCGAAAATGTCGACGTTTGAAGAATCCACAAAAGGTTAAAAAGGTTCGCTAGTTTAGCTGAGTTAAAAATTCCTGATGTGAATAGCCCTTCCAGTTCTAGTACTATTCAAATAGTAATTTGCTACTTGTAATTCTACCACCTTTTGTCATTTGAAACCATAACCATTTCACAAATATTGATTGAGCAGCTGATGCATGCTTGGCGCTGTGCTCGTGCTAGGATACAGTGGCAGGTCCTCATGGAGCCCACAGCCTGGCAGGAGTAAAACAAGCCAACAGGCAACAGGGCCATGAATGCTGTGTTAGGAGAGGTACAGGACAGTTGAGGAGCCCAGGAGGGGCAGCTAAGCCAGACCTGGAGTGGGTGGGGGTGGGGGGCTTCCCAAGGGCTTCCTGAAAGAGGGTCAGGTGTTCTGAAGGGTAAGTTGCAGTTGTCCTGGGGAGGTGGCAGGGAGGGGAGGAAACAAAAGGAGCAAGAAGTGGCAAAGCTCACAGGTGAAAGCAAGCTTTATACTTAGAAGCAAATAAAAGTCTTTTTTATGGTTTTTTTTTTTTTTTTTTTTTTTGGATAGAGCTGGATCACCCAAACTCAAACCACCATCTTGTCCAACTGTGAATGACCCAGTGGTCACTTGTGTTTCACTTTACTCAAAGGAGTAGTGGTCACAGCATACCCGAGGGTGCCATGCTCAGACTCCCCCACGATTCATATGTCCCACCCTCTCCACAGCACCAGGGACAATATTGCAGGACAGCATGACCAGACTCCGTAATATTAATTTCCAAAGAGTGGGCCAGGTACGGTGGCTCACACTTGTAATCCCAACACTTGGGAGGCCGAGGTGGGCGGATCACCTGAGGTCGGGAGTTCAAGACCAGCTTGACCAACATGGAGAAACCCCGTCTCTACTAAAAATACACAATTAGCTGGGCACAGTGGTGCATACCTGTAATCCCAGCTTCTTGGGAGGCTGAGGCAGGAGAATCGCTTGAACCCAGGAGGCAGAGGTTGCAGTGAGCAGAGATCGCGCCATTGTACTCCAGCCTGGGCAACAAGAGCGAGACTCCATCTCAAAAAAAAATTCCAAAGAGTGGAGATGTGTCCCCAAACATTCCTATTTCTTGTGATGACCAATTAGCTCTCTCTCATGTATGCATTAAAAAAAAATACACGCACACACACACACACACACACACTAGACATGGCGTATGTATATAAACTTCTTTAATCTACTTACATATTTTGTTCGTCACTGACTTAACAATATCCACTGTATTATATTTTAAAATGTTAGTCCTAAAATGTCCTCATTTCATCTTCAAGAGCCCCATAATTCTAACATTACAGAATTTCATGGAGTCACATCCACCTTATCTGAGCCCTTCTGCATTTTGATGATTTTGACTACACATTGCATGCCCTTCAGTGTTTCATTTCTTTCCCATTGCAAAGATTGTGTTTAGTCTTTCCGTAATACGAGGAACAGCTTTAAATGTAGCTATAGCTACGGACATGTGGAAAAACTTAGGCCAGAAAACTGTTTAACTTGAAAGGGAAACCCTGAAATGCTGCCATCCCAGTTTTGTACCAGATGGGAATCTGCTGACCAACGGAAATGTAGAGGGGATCTTTTGTGCATACTCTTTGGCAGTGGCTCTTGAACTTTCTTTATTCAGAATCATTTGGGGCATTTGATAAAAGTGCAGATTTCCAAACCCACCCACAAAGATTCTGATGCAGTAAGTCCAGGGGGCGAGGGGATACTCAGCAACGTGTCTTTTCCAAGCACACCCAGGTGATTCTTTGCAGGTGGTCTATGGACCATATTTGGAGAAACACTGAGATACAAGGAGGCTATTTTCAGCCCAATAAAAGATAGGATTTGGGTTATAGTGGTACCCCAAAGATGAGATGACATGCCTTAAGAGGCAGCATTCTCATCATTGAAGAAATAAAAGCAGAGACCAATCTCTTATTGTCATGAGGGGATTCACGAAATTGGATGAGTCATTGGACTAGCTGACCCCTAAGCCACCCTCCAATTCTGTGGGTGGATGATCCTCTGTGCTTGCTTCTTCTCCTAGTCCGTGTATGGCGTGACTGAAGAGTCCCAGGCACAGAGCCCGGTGCATGTACTCAGCCAACCAATCAGGAAAACAACAAAAGAGGACATCCGGAAACAGGTGAATGAATTGACAGCTTGCACTCTCAGGAGGAGACGTGGCCAGTTTAAAAACCCTTTCAAATGTTCAACTCTGAAGATTGAGCAAGCTTTGAGTTCCTGGAAACCACAGTGGAACCCAGCTGTGGGTGATTGAACCTTTTAAGTGCTGTGTGTGAACAAGCCACGGAAGCTTGAGAGAAAGAATTCTCTACCCAGTTCCTCCAGCAGTTACTAGAAAAGGGCGTAAATGAGTCATCCCATGCCTTGGGGTAACTGCTGTAATGGGGTTTCCCACAGTCCGCTGTGGGAGCTGGAGGAAGGAGGGGGCTCATGTCACACAGTCCTTATAATTGGAATGCACCAGCTCAGGATGGTCTACTTTATTGCTGTGATTTGAAAGGAAAGTTTAAGAATAAATAAAGCTCTACTCCCAATGCCATTTCAGCATTACTTGGTTGAATGTTATTTTCTTTCATGATGAGCAGCCCAGGTCAACAGACAATGGCTAATTATATTACTTCCTTCTGATATTTACTGGTAACAAAGCAACCTACTGTTTATATTATGCCTTGCTGGTTCCTAGAGGGCAAAACCCAAAGGAGTAAACTTTGAGGTGCTTGCCCTTGACAAGTTTATTATCTGATGGGTAAGAGGTAATGGATATATGAAAAAAAAAAGCTATTTGGCGGGGCTCGGGGCTCGGTGGCCCACACCTGTAATCCCAGCACTTTGTGAGGCTGAGGCAGGTGGATCATCTGAGGTAAGGAGTTTGAGACCAGGCTGACCAATATGATGAAACCCCATCTCTACTAAAAATAGAAAAAAGTTAGCCGGGCTTGGTGGCGTGTGACTATAATCCCAGCTACTCGGGAGGCTGAGACAGCAGAATCACTTGAATCTGAGAGGTGGAGGTTGCAGTGAGCTGAGATCATGCCGCTGCACTCCAGCCTAGGCAACAGAATGAGACTCTGTCTCAAAAAAAAAAAAGAAAAAAAGAAAAAAAAACCACACAGAAAAAAAGCTATTTGATGATTCCAGTCAAGCATGCCAAGGACATGGGTGTGACGTGCCTGTGAAAGGTGGGCAGAGGAGGGGTCACTGGGGATTGTTCAAAACAGGTATTTATGGGGCACATTTCACCTGTCCATGCTGTTGCTAAGCTACGTAGAAAATACATTGCCTTTAAATTTTGGAAAGCAAGACTTAAATCACACCACAGTATAGGAGGAGATGAGACAAAGGCTAAATTGCAGAATATGAATCTTGTATGATAGGGATGTCCAGAGGCACAAGTAATTTGCTGGAGGGCAGAGCTGAGGGAGTTGGAGATGTCTGGCCAGAGGAGGTATTTGGATCTTGGTGGAAATGCAGGATTTGGGTTTGTGGAGCGAGGGGAAAAAAATAATTTTAGTTTGGTCTTAACATCTGTGTTCTCTATTTTCCCAGATAACATTTTTGAACGCACAGATCGACAGACATTGTTTGAAAATGTCCAAAGTGGCTGAAAGGTATGTTTTCCTTTAATAATATTACTACTTTCTTCTAATTTAACAGGGAAGAAATGTTACAGGGTTATGGTTAACGAATGTGTTCAATGCCAAGAGTTAGACTGTAGTTATTCCTTAGACTGGGGTGCAGAAAAACCCACAGGCTCCATGTGAGTATAACTAAGATAACAGACCTCCCTTGAGTGATGTCAAGAAATGTTCCGTTGCTAAGGCTTTACAGGGGGTGGCCACGGGACCTTGTCAATCAAGGAAGAATGTCCTTTAAAGCTACATAATGCACCTTTGCCTTCAGCCTCTGGATTAATTCAAATGGAAATTGCTCCCCTTTCAGCTATAAAATGCCCAGATTCACTTTATAGGGGAAAAGAAATTATGTGTGTCCTTTGAGGTGCTGGCTGCATAGACAGGAGGGGACTGGATCATCGGGAAGTGTTCCGCCTCCACACGCCATCAACCACTGAACTGCATCGAATCAGCTGTAAAGAAAATATTTGGCCCCTCCAGCCTGGCTTCCACAGCGGTGTGTGTGCTTCATTCTGCACCAGTAGCTAGTTCCACTCCGTTAACTCATGGGAGACTCAATTTTATCAACTAAATGGTCTGTTTTTTTAACTCTTCCGTGAAGATGGGAGACCACATGGGGAATCTATATGGAATAAATCTAACCAGGCAGCTCAGTAGTGAACATTTATTCATCCATATGCTACCGTTAAAGCAATGACCAATTGCTTAAGGAATCAAGAGCTTAAGTTGGGTCTTGGTATTTATTGGATGTCAGATAAACTGAGTCTTTTAAGCCCAGCTCCTACAGGGGGCTGGCTGTGAGAGCCATCTATAAGCCTGTAAGCCTTTCTCTGCTGGCTCCTGGGTTGATTCACATCTTTTTTCTAGATAAATTACAACAAATGGAAGGTATAAAAACTCCAACCCCAAACAAAGAGTCTGATTGAATACCCTACCTTCAGGGGCTAAGGACATCCCTGGACTTGGGCTCACGTCTTTATTCCAGGGTTTCTCGATTGTGGCACTAGTGACATTCTGAGCCAGATAATTCCTTGTTGTGTTCTTAATGTCCTATGAATTATAGGATAGTTAGCAGCATTCCTGACCTCTCCCCATTAGAGGCCAGTAGTCCCCCACCACCACAGCTGTGAGAACCAAAAATGTCTCCAGACATTGCCAAATGTCCCCTGGGTGGGGTGAAAGTCACTCCCATTGAGAATGACTGACACTCCTGCTTTTTCTATGCAAATGTGCTGGAAAGTTGCCCTGGCTGGAGCTCAGCTTACACTGAGGTACTGATCACTCTGGAGTCGCTGTTTCAGCTAGCTGTGTAGGCTGCAGAATCACCTCATACCTCCTCTCTCATCATGTGTGGCTTCTGGCCAGAGTACCAGGCTCTGAAAATGCTTTTTAGGTCTCACTGTGGTTCCTTTGCCCCAGAAAGGTGGCTGTGAGTGAAACAGCAGCATGGCCTCAACTCTCTTGGTGTCATCCATGGCCTGTGAGGAACCACGAGCTTCTTTCTCTGTGAACTAGGGACAGAAATGGCTGTCCTAGTATACTTTGAGGGTCGGTGTGCTAGCAATGCTCATGTCTGGCCTTGGAAGGTGGAAGAGCTCTTTAGGGTTTGCAATTTAGAAAGAGCGTATATATGGGAGCATCTGTTTCTTTGGATCTATTTGCTCAGGTCCAGTGGTTCTAAGTACCGTAATCCAGGTGAGGGAGGGGGTTAAAAAATGGAAATTCCCAAGCCTCAGCCCTAGGGATTCAGATTCAGTGGTTCCAGGGTTGAGCCAAGAAATCCACATTCTGGATAATCTTCAAGTGGACTGATCTGGTCTTTCAGGATCCGGTGAAGCCATTGCCTGCTACTCAGGCTGACCTGAGAGCTCACATCCAATTTGTTATATCTTTGGGATGCAGAGAAAGAGCCTGAACCTGTCAGCATGAGGGAGGCAGACTCCAGGGCAGGTGTGCAGAGAGTCCAAGGAATGGAGGAAACCAAGGTGGAGGCGGGGAGCCCGGCCCATCCTATTGTTTGTTTGTTTCCTTGCTGTCAGGGAGGGGCCCCACCTGGTACCACCTAATTATGCTTGAGAGGCTGCTCATATTGAAGGATTATTCCAACTGGCTACTCCTCGGTGCCCAGCTAGAAGCTTTCATGAGTCTCTGCCCGGCAGAGGCTGGATTTTATTCCCAGCAGCAATAACTGGCAACTTTTCAATGCGACACGAGGGTTTTTCATTAGAGCCACAAGGAAACCCCCAGATAAGGAGGAGGAGGGAAAGGAGACGCGTGTTAGCTGGAGATAAAGCAGCTGGGAGCCGGGCCTGTCAGTGGCTCTGTGAAGATGGGGCCAGGGAGGAGGTGCTGGCAGCTGGTGAGAAGCTGCCAGAGATGCAGGCTGAGCTCTCTCAGGTGGGCACGCACATCCACATCCACATCCCCATCCTGATCTGGCTTCCCTGGGCCTGCTCCAGGTGATAAGTGGCAATTCCATATCCCCCAGGAAACCGCATCCCCCAGGAAAGGTCTTCATCATTTTTCACCCAGTTCTGTGAGAACTAATAGTGAGGAGAGGCAGGAGGGCTGGGGACAGCGAGGCTGGGCTCTGGGATGTCTACAGTCAGGGTTGGACTAAAGGGTGCATCCAGACCAGCAGGGAGGGAAAAAGGGAACTTTGCAAACTAAAGGGGCAGAACAGACAGTTTAGGGGATGGGTCTGAAACCGACCATCGAGGTTTGAAACCTACCCCTGCCATTTCCTGTTTTCTAACTGATGAAGCCAGTGGCTTCTTCTCTCGGTGCCTGTTTTTACCTCTTTAGAGGGGAGATAGTAGTTGTATTTAAATTATAGGATTAATGAGTTCATGCATGGCAAAAGTATGGTCCAGTCCTTGGGACTCAGTCTGCACACTGGGAATGTGAATAATAATTATTTTCCAGCATGACACTTAACTTGTGCTTTGGAAGAGAGCAGAATTCAAGGCCATGAGACAGAATGAACTGGATATATGGTGCTTAAAGGAGCAAACAAAGGGCAGGCCAAGGAGGGAGGCTGCTAATGCAATTCTTTCCTGCACCCTCTGTCTCCCCCCAGTCTCCCACACAGAGATCTCTGCAGGCTGCCCAAGGCTGACCTTGCACTGCATGTCTCCTTCCACTGCCTCACACGCCATCACTAATCTGGGGCTTTGCGGGAGAAAAGACTTGCTCTTCTGCACAGAATTTCTCAGATCATCCCAGTTCCAAATATTCTGTCCATTGTCTTCCTGAGTGCTTAAGTGTCCCCAAAATGCCAGCATCGTGGCAACCAAACTGCATTTCCTAGGCTGCCTTTTGCACCTGGAAGCAACACAAAAGGCTTTCTGAGCTGTTACCCAATTTTTGTTGCAGAATGTATTGTCTCTGCACACACACACATGAGTGTCTCAGATAAATGACACTTAACACCCTAAGCTTTTTATTTTAACTTTTTTTTTTTTTTTTTTTTTGAGACGGAGTCTTGCTTTGTTGCCCAGGCTGGAGTGCAGTGGTGCAATCTCGGCTCACTGCAAGCTCCGCCTCCCGGGTTCACACCATTCTCCTGCCTCAGCCTCCTCAGTAGCTGGGATTACAGGCACCTGCCACCAAGCCTGGCTAATTTTTTTGTATTTTTTAGTAGAGACATGGTTTCACCATGTTAGTCAGGATGGTCTCGATCTCCTGACGTCGTGATCCGCCCGCCTCGGCCTCCCAAAGTGCTGGGATTACAGGCATGAGCCACCGCTCCCGGCCTATTTTAACTATTTTTTAATGGCAGTGTTTCTTAAATATGGTTCATCCACTTTACTTCCTAATAAAAGGACACTACATTTCAGTTAATTTTGCTAGATGACTCAAGAGTCAGTAGTCTTCTATTATGCTTTAAAACTGTCAGTGGTCAGGATCTTATAAGGTGCCCTGCTTCCCCTTCCCTAAATGGCCCCAGATAATAATATTCTTTGAATTCCTGTTTCTGCCTTTTAGTTGTCTGTCTGTCTGCTTTCTCTACTAACCCTTCCCCCCAACACCCAACCCCTGCTTTCCAATCTGTAGCATACCATGTGTATCAGTTAGCTGTCACTGAGTAACAAAACACCCCAAAACTCAGTGGCTTAAAAAATAGGCTTTTACTATTGCTCACATGTCTATGTGCCACCTGGCTCCACTGGTCTCAGCCATGTTTCTCTATGTGGCTATGGGTTGGCGAGGCAGCTCTGCTGATCTTGGCTGGGCTCTCTCACATGTTTGGCTTCTGCTGGTTTAGGATGGCCTCAGCTGGGACAGTTGAGCACTCCTTAATATGGTCTCTCACCCTCCAGCAGACTAGTTTGACCTTTTCCACATGGGGATAGTGGGATTCCAAGAGAGAGAACAGAAGCATGCAAAACTCTTGCAGATTAGAACTGGCATTCTGTCGCTTCTGTTACCTTTTATTGGCTAAAACAAGTCACTAAGCTGGACTAGATTCAAGGGCAGAAGAAATAGACTCCTTTTTTGAAACTGAACTACCACACCAGGAAATCAAATAACCAAATTGATTAGCTTTGATCCTAAAGCAAGTGTGAAAAGTCTTTTTTGTGAGGTGTGTTGTTCCCGATAACAATGAACCTTGAGGCATGGTGTTTATTTCATCTGTAGACTATGCAGAGGCTCTTATGCTCACTTATCTCATTTGTGTTCTCTGGATACTTGAAGTTGCCAGATAAACAAGGTCCTACTCTTCTCTGCAAGCGTCCCCAAGGGAGTCCCTTTTTTTATTCATCTAAGCCTTATAGCACTTGACAAACCAACTTTGAGAAGCAACACTCCATGCATTTTAGTCCCAAACTGTCTAGTCTCCATGTTTGGCTGCGATTCCCCAGAGACTTCTCCCGACCCATAGCGAGCTTACACCACAATCACTGCAGCTATCCCAGTGCACTGCTGCACACAGAGGGATCAAAATGTTTCATTCCGTACCTGCATCTGTACTTGGCTCATCCTCACCCTATTACTGGGAGCCATTCGTGTGTCACAGCTGACTGCTGAATTGATTTTTTTTAGCATCATCTCACTTGCCTGTATCTGAGATTGCCGCTGCTCCCTGAAATTGGATGCTGGTTCTTCCTCCACCTCCTGACCCTCAGTGATCATGAAATGTAATTAATGAAATGAGATAAGACAGCAAGGGACTGGATACCCCTAAGGGTCTATTAAAAACCTGCTAGGGTGATAGAGGTTTGGGAACTTAATGTCTAATTATAGTTTCAGGGGAGGAAAAAAGAGGGTCACAGAAGTCATTACAACTTTGCTTTTATGGGATTTCAGAAACCATGGGGTCTTTGCTCCTCCTTTCTCCTAGCCTGTTCTAGGTGACAGAAAAAAAAAAAGACCGGAGGTATCATTACAGCCAGGGTGACTGTATCTAGACCAAGATATGGAATCTGTAGCATGTGGAAAAGAAGGGGCCTCCATACCTGGCCTGGTGTAAGCTCTTCTTCCTGCAGGGCTGAATTCACCTTCATGCTCCTTCACTCATCCCAAGTTTCTCTATTGAATGTGTTTTCTCTGGGTGACTTGCAATTAAGGAGTTCTCTTTTTATATTTTCCCTACTTCCCACCTTCTCCAAGTGAAAAAAAAAAAGCTAGATTAATTAATTAATTGCTAGGAATCAAACTTTCTTCTTTCCTCTCCGCAGTGCTGCTCTGCTTCTCATTTTCCTTTCTAATCAGATCCTTCCTGTCCTGGTTCTCTGTTGTGCATCACAGTTCAGAAACTGCATGTAGCAGAGCGAGGCGTGCCAGCATGCTCTCCTCTTCACCCCCTTTAATATTCCAATTCCAGGTCTTCTCATGTAGAGGCTCTGATTTCATAATGAATGCTTTAGTGCATTTGTACTGTATTTCTAAAGTAGGACTAATGGTCGTATCCCATAATGCTTTAGATTCCAGGCCTCGTTTTTGTTGGATTTTGTTTGTTTGTTTGTTTGTTTTCCTGGATAGTAGTTTCCCATAGCTGCAGGCCATACTTCACTGTCCCTTTTTCCTGGAGCCTAGCCATGTCAGTATCTCTTCATCTTCTCCCCACCTGCTCCATATATGTGTCCTTAGCTCTAGGGATTCCTCCTAGGCATTGCTTAACTCAGGATGGACAGCATTTCTTCTTCCTCCAACTTGTCATAGTTTTGTGTGGTTTTTTTTTGGTGGGGGGCGGTCACATCTATACAATTTGTAGCAAAATTATAAGTCTTTTGTTAAGAGAGAAAGGATAAAATCTACAACTTTTATTTTTGTCATATTTTCTCAAGTGGTTGGACTGTATGTTTACTAAATTCTCTTTCATTATTTCCTTCCCCTCCATGTTTATCAAAGGTAGACCCTAATTAGCAATCTAAATTGGGAAGGTTTTGCATTAATAACTGTCCTCCTACCAGGATTGGTTACTATTGTTAGAAGCTGTGACTTTGCTGTTAGCTCAGCTCTAACAACTCTCTGAGATCCAGAGAGCTGTTTGCTATTTAATGGCATAGTAGGCTCTGAATAATGGCTACTAAATGACTGACCACAGAGTGTACCCCTGGTAGCCATCTGGTAGATTTTTTTTTTTTTTTTTTTTTTGCCATTACTAAAGGTTCATGGGGCAGGAGTATGTGAACAAATAGCCAGTTCCACATTTCCACTCAAGACCCAGTTCAAAGCCCACGACAATGGTGGGTAGCACATTTGCTAAAGGTTCACAGATCAGCATCTTCTAGTGATGTGAGAATTTGTCATTTGAAAATAACAAAAGCATATACCAATCAGGAGTCAGGGATAAAGGGACAAGAATGCTAAAATTGCTCATTGAGAAATATTGTTCCTAATGGACTTCTGAATTTCCTATATTTATTTTATTTCTTCCATCTCATCCCAATTCTGCTTTTCTGCCACTCACACCCAGCGGTTGGAGGACCATTGCTGCTGTGTACTGTTATATGCTGGACATCCTACAAAGCTCTTTACATACCTCTATTTTCTTCTCCCTTTTTGCTTCTCCTCTCCTACCTCTAGTCTTTCTGTGGTCATTGGTATTGACTTTGGACTGAAATGGTACTGTGCGTTGGCCATTGCTGCCTCCTTCATTGGCCTGCCTGGCCTTCTCATTGTCTTGTGTGTCCCAAGCAGACTCTGTTCATCTTGTAATCTGTACACTACCAGGAAGCACATGTTCTGAAAGAGACAACCTCTCTGGCTAGTTCTACAAAGGGCTGCCTTGATGAACTTGCCTTCACACTCCCATCACCTTCATTCCCTTTTCAACTGTATTGGTTTGATTCCAAGCAATAAAACCCCAGCTTGAACCTGGTTCTGCAAAATAGAAGCATGCCTTGGCTCCCAGAATACAAGAAGGGGCTGTGGAATTGAACCCTGGGAAAGGCAGCAATGCTACTGAGCTCAGGAAAAGCTGGAGCCAGGGCCTTCAGTGCCTCCAAGACCCATTCTTCCTCTCTGGTCCTGCCCACTTTCCATGCTGACCTTATTCTCTTTCATGACAGACATGTGTTAGGAAACATGACACCACCAGCCCTTGAACTTTGTGACTATACAACTTTGATATGGTTTGGCTGTATCCCCACCCAAATCTCATCTTGAATTGTAGTTCCCATAATCCCCACACGTGATGGGAGGGACCCAGTGGGAGGTAATTGAATCATGCTGGTGTTTTCCCCCATGCTATGCTCATGATAGTAAGTTCTCATGAGACCTGATGGCTTTATAAAGGGCTTCCCCCCTTCATTCAGTTCTCATTCTCCTTCCTGTCACCATGTGAAGAAGGACATGTTTGCTTCCCCTTCCCCCATGATTGTAAGTTTCCTAGGCCTCCCCAGCCATGCTGAACCATGAGTCAATTAAACCTCTTTCCTTTATAAATTAGCCAGTCTTGGGTATTTCCTCATAGCAGCAGGAGAATGGACTAATACAAGCTTCTACTGCTGAAGCTGGGGAAAGAAGATATGAACCTCACTTGCGTCAGGTATCTGTTCCTGGACAAATCAACCATGGCCAGGAGCAGGGCTTATAAATAAATACATGGCAGCTCCTGAAGTAGCCTTGTGTACATGTCAGAGTACAATTCTCAGGAGACAAGCAGAAGTGAGCAGAAACCCATAGAGGCCCTCTATGCCTGCTCACCCATTTTGGAGTACTCACCATCCAGAATCCCTATCTGCTTCACTCAGATTCCCAAGAGACCCAGCATAAGGGTCAACCCTTGTACATTCACTGTATTCCTAGGCAGCACTTCTATCTCCATTTGGATCTCCTTTCATGCCTAAGAAATGGTGCTGGACAGCCTAGGCACAAACCCAAAAGCCTTTTAACTCTCTGCATTAAGCTTAGATCTTATCCTATGTGGCCAACCTTCATTTCTTTCCTGTGTCCCACCTTGGAAGCTCTAGCTACCAGGCATAAGGCACCTCCAGCCCAGACTAAAGAGACAGGAGAGCAAGGAAAGGGTAAGGAGTCCTTGCTTTCATTTCTTGTGCTGTTTCTGCACAGTCTGATGATGTTGAGAAGCATAAGGGAAGAGGAGATCGCCTTCCCTCTCTGCCCAGCGTGGGGTGTTCTTTCACCTCCTCTCAGTCTTTGGCTACCCCAGCTGTGAAGTTAACCCTCTCTGCTACTCTCTCTGGGAAGGATCACCCTCCCCTCCCACCAAGAAGCTGGGAGAGCAGTTGAGGCAGCAGACTGCTAAATGCCCAGGTCACCCATGGGAAACTCCAAGATGCACTTTGCTGTCTCCTGTCTTTTCCATGCAATGATGATGGCAAATAGGACAAATGAGGGTGCATAGATTCATGAACACTGGGTTTATTTGCGTGGGTTGTGATAGTGGCAGCAAAATAAAACATGGCGGTGCCATTATGCACCTTTTATCTACTGCCACACTCTCCTCCAGGTGACTTTATTTTCTACATAGATAAATAT
Organism: Homo sapiens; assembly: GCF_000001405.40. Taxonomy (NCBI): domain Eukaryota; kingdom Metazoa; phylum Chordata; class Mammalia; order Primates; family Hominidae; genus Homo; species Homo sapiens. The sequence goes on from NC_000014.9 coordinate 72,487,303, forward strand.
AGTAAGAAATACATAATAATACATTTATTTTTTCACATAAATTGCAGTCAAACTACACCTGTGGTAGGCAGAATAATGATCTCTCAAAGATGTCCATGTTCTAATCCCCAGAACCTGTGAATAGGTTATGTTACATGGCAAGGAGAATTCAGGTTGCAGGTGGACTTAAGGTTGCTAATCAGTTCACCTTAAAATAGAGAGATTATCCTGGATTGCCCAGATGGGCCCAGCATAATCACAGGTTCCCGGAAATGTGGAAGAGAGAGGCAGAAGAGTCGGTGTCAGAGTGATGCAGCATGAGAAAACCATAGCTGGCTTTGCAGATGGAAGGGGGCCACGAGCCAAGGAATGCAGGGAGCCTCTAGAAGCTGGAAAAAGGCAAGCAAATGAATTCTTCCCTAGAGCCTCCAGAAGGAACATCGCCCTGCTGACACCTTGATTTTAGCTCAGTGAGACCCATTTCAGACTTCTGACTCTTAGAATTATAAGACAATACATTTGTATTGTTTTCAGCTGCTAAATATGAGATAATCTGTTCCAGCAGCCCTTAGAAACAAATATAAAACCCCAGTCTCTCCCCTTCTCATAGAATCTGAAGGCCAAATTGTTCATCCTCTTTGTCTTTAATATACCAGCATCTCCGAGCACCCCGCTGACTAGGAGTGCCTCTTATAGCCCCAATACGTGTATGTCTCATTCTGATGATTCAATACTTCCTTTTCCCATCAATAAAATACAACATTCAAAATATGTATGCCCATCTAATTTTACTGTTTCCTTTACAAAGCCTCTGACTTTATTTATGTAACTTAACAAAATAGATTTCCCTCTTCTAATACAATAAATTTCCCTTCCGACCAGTACCACTCATCTCTGACACTGGCCAGCAGATTAGTTGCTCGTAATGACTTTGGCTTTGTTGCCTGGTTCAGGTTGTCAGGACTTTCTGTGTTCCTTCTCCACGTGTTCCTCTATAGCATGTCTTGACGCCTCTTGCCTAGACCTTTTTTAGAGAAGGCATGACATGGCACAAGCTCCCAGGAACAATTTCATTCATGCTTAATGCCTGTTGCAAAGTCATATTTTTTGCTCTTATGTTGGGTGGTCACAAAAATCTCACCTTGGGCTCTCAACCACATTCTCCTAAACCAACATCACCATGAGCTCTCACCACCTCTCTTCCACCCACTTCTCTAATGATATTCCAGGATTTTTCTTAAAGAGATCTGGCTATGAGCCTGTATTTCATTACAGCTTAAATAATCATATTATTTCCCATTTCCTTAGTTGCTCTCTGGACTTTTAAGATTCTACTGCCTTAGGCTGGTCAGCGGACAGCTGCCTTCATTGCCATGCATATAGTAATAGGCAGCTGGAGCCTGCAGGCTCCTCTTGGGACCAGGTGCTGGCTGAACTCTCACCACAGCCTCTCCTGAGCCTTCCCTATTGTCCCCTCAGCCCAGCACTCACTCAGGGCTCCATATGGGGACTTGTCCACAGGACCTGACCTGGCTGGTTGGACCCCACTTCCCAGGTTGGAGATGTGACCACATCGAGGATCTGCTAGAACACATTTGGGGAGGGGTCTGATAAAAACCCCAGCCTGTCTCATTGAAATCTAAGGAAGCAAGAGGGAGGAGGGGAGGACATTTCATTTTTCAATCCCTATGTTCTACTTCAGGGAAATCTATTTCTGGTCTTAAAAAAAAATTCCCCAATAACGTAATTAATTAAAAGAGGTCCTACCTTTTGCCTTGAGCTGCCAAGTGGATGTCTTTTATTTGAGATTCAAAGCTAACTAAGGCTGAGATTATTGGAATGGCCAGGGCAGATGTCCTGGGAGGACAAAGGGGGCCCCCCCACCGGCTGTTTGCTCATCTCAGATTTTGAGAATGCCATGGATGCTGAAATGCCTCATAATTGGGAGAACCCCCCAATATGTCATCGTGACTCAGATCCTCTGGGGCACCTCAGTACAACTCGTCACCCCCTGAACAGGATTTCGGTTTTCTGCTGCTGGCTTGTCTTTGTGCTGATCTGAGCAAAGGAGACAGGTAGCCCAGTGTTCTCTCTGTATCCCCACATCCAGCTTGCTCTCTCACATTCCCTGTAGTGGGTTGAATAGTGGAGCCCCAAAAGATAGGTCCTAGGCCTTACCTGTGAAACCTGTGAATGTGACCTCCTTTGGGAAGAGTCTTTGCAGATGTAATTCAGTTAAGGATATCTACATAAATCATTATGGATTATCCAGAGACTCCAAATCCAATGACAAGTGTCCTCATAAGACAAAAAAGAGAGCGGATGACACAGGCACAGAAGAAAGCCATGTGAAGACAAAGACAGAGATGAAAGTGATGCAGCCACAAGCCAAGGCATGCCTGGAGCCACCAGAAACTGGAAGGAAAAGAAAGGAAAGGAAAGGAGAGGCAAGGCGAGGTGAGACGAGGCGAGGCGAGGTGAAATTATCCCCTAGAGCCTTCGGAGGGAGGATGGCCCTGCCAACACCTTGATATCAGACTTCTAGCCTCCAAAACCGAGTATAAACTTCTGTTGTTTTAACCATTTGTGGTCATTTGTTATTGCAGCCCTAGAAAACTAACATATTCCTCAACATGCAATGCCATTTCTTTTATAAAGAATTCAATCAGCCCAAGTAGCTAAGAAGTGGCTTCCAGGTGCAGCACCAACTTGTAGCCTGGTCCTTCCTGCCATAGTGCTTTCTTACAGCTCCCTTGCCCAGGTTCATTCTGCCTGAGATGTCGTAAAGCTCTTGATATGGTTTGCCTGTGTCCCCACCCAGATCTCGTCTTGAATTCCCATGTGTTGTGAGAGGGACCCAGTGAGAGGTAATTGAATCATGGGGCAGGTCATTCCTGTGCTGTTCCCATGATAGTGAATAAGTCTCATGAGATCTGATGGCTTTAAAAATGGGAGTTTCCCTGCACAAGCTCGCTCTCTTTGCCTGCTGCCATCCATGTAAGACATGACTTGCTCCTCCTTGCCTCCCACCATGATTGTGAGGCCTCCCCAGCTACATGGAACTGTAAGTCCATTAAACCTCTTTCTCTTATAAATTGCCCAGTCTCAGGTATGTCTTTATCAGCAGCATGAAAACAAACTAATACAGCTCTTATTGGTGAAGCCTGGCCCCAGGGAAGATGCATACCTTGCAGGAGATTTATAGGACAGAGGATGTGC